>NW_025791819.1:0-294119 GCF_000001405.40 Homo sapiens
CTCAACTTGGCAACAGTCAACTCCAGGAGCCTGTTACAAGTTCGTCTAACAGGGACACTGGGCAAAAGCCTAGCCTAATCCCAGGACACTCTGGAAATCTTGCCCCATCTGTGGTATCAAGCAACACTGGAAGTCAGACTGTGCTCACTGAAACTCTTCATCCTGCTTCACCACCTGTACCTGAAGACAGGTGGGGCCTGGAGTCCACCGCCCCTACTGCCATCACCACCTCGGAACCCAGGGTAATTCTGTCAGTCTCTAGTAAGCCCATGT
The DNA here is from genome assembly GCF_000001405.40 of Homo sapiens. Lineage (NCBI taxonomy): Eukaryota > Metazoa > Chordata > Mammalia > Primates > Hominidae > Homo > Homo sapiens. The sequence continues at coordinate 274 of NW_025791819.1, forward strand.
CTTTCCTATTGGATACTCAATAGGACAACTAGTTACTCAGTTTGACCAGAATATTCTAGACCCTTTTTCTGTTCTTCGATCTCTATTGTGAGAATCAATAAAATCCCCTCTAGGCACAGACTGGTCCTTTATTATACAACCTATTCAGCAGCCCCCTTCACCCACTCTTTCCTGGTTATCCCTCAGTCCCCTACCCCTATCTTGGGATGGGACATATTAAGTAAATTCCAGAACTCCATGCAATGTGGCTCCTACAATTCTACCCCTTTTATTTTACTCTGACACCCAAACGCTTCCCTCTCCCCCCACTCATCCTCATTATCCACCCTGTTACCTTCTGTTAATTCTAAAGCTTGGAATGTTTCTAAACCCACAATAGCCACACATCACATCCCAGTTAAAATAACCCTTCAAAACCCCTCCATTTTCCTTCATCAGTCTCAATATCCCCTTAATCCAGCCTTGCTTAGGGGGTCTCAAACCTATTATCTGTAAACTTTTACAAGCTCATATTCTCAAGCCTGTTAACTCTCCCCACAACACCCCTATTCTGGCTTTCCAAAAGACAGACGGGACTTACCCCTTTGTCTAGGATCTCCAAGTCGTTAACCAGGCCGTGGTACCAATCCATCTAGTGGTCCTCAACCAATATACTCTACTCTACCGTATTGCCCCATCTACCACACACTCCTTTGTATTGAACTAAAAGACAACTATTTCACTATTCCCTTAAATCTGGCTTACCAAAGTCTTTTTGCTTTGACTTGGTCAAATCCTAATACTCACATGTCCTGTACTCTTACAGGACTTACACATGGACTTACACCTAGACTGTACTCTTAGAGGGGTTCCGGGATAGGCCCCACCTGTTCAGACAGGCCCTCATCAAGGACCTAGCTGAACTTCCCCTTGCTCCTAGTACCCTCCTCCAGTATGTCAATGACCTCCTTCTCTGTAGCCCCTTTCTTAACCTGTCCATTCAACACACCACTCAGGTTTTAAACTTCCTTCATAATCAAGTATATTGGGCCTAACCCACAAAATCTCAGGTACCCAAATCAAAGTTACTTACCTTGGGTTTGTTCTAACCCCTAATTCTCGAGCCATCCCAACCCAATGAAAGGAGCCAATTTGGGACATGCCCCTTCCCCACATAAAAAAAAAGGACCTCCCCTCCTTCTTGGGCCTTGTGGGATACTTCTGGCTGTGAATTCCTAACTTTGACTTGCTGGCCAAGCCACTATACGTAGCCTCACATGGGCCCATCCTAAAACCCCTGAACCCAGCTTGCCCCATCAACTCCAACTTAAAAACTTAAAAATGCCCTTTTAATGGCCCTGGCACTGGGACTGCCAAACCTCACCAAGCCTGTTACTTTCTATGTACATTCTGACCAGCGCCTTGCCCTTGGACTACTCTGCCAAACATATGGCAACGCCCCAGAAGCCATTGCACGCCTCTCAAAACAACTGGACTCTGTCATCCGAGGCTGGTCACTCTGACTAAAAATCTTGGGTATGGCCACATTGCTGGCCTTAGATGCACGGAAACTCCCTCTCTACCAACACATTACTATTGCATCTTCCCATTATCTACAGGACCTCATAAACCACCAATCCCTTCTATCCCTCCCACCATCCTGCTTACAGCAGGTGCATGCCTTATTCATAGGTAACCCTCTAATCACCTTCCAGAGACATAAAATTCTCTACCCAGCCACCCTTCTCCCTGTAAACACTTCCGACTCTAAGCTCTCTCACTCCTGTCTGGACCTCTTAGACTCCCTCTCCTCCCCCTTCCAACACATTTCAGATGCCCCTTTGCAGGGAACACATACACGGTTAGTTAATGGAACCTCTTTTAGGCAGCCATGTCCAGCAGCTGGCTATTCCATCAGTGCTGAAGATAAACTCCTAGAATCGAATGCTCTCACACCCCATGCTACCTCTCAACAGGCAAAGCTAGTTGCCCTAACCAGGGCCCTCACCCTAGCAAAGGGAAAGAGGGTCAACATTTACACCCATTCCAAATATGCATACCATGTCCTACAGTCTCATGCCTTCATCTGGCAGGAACAGGGTTTCCTAACTACAAAAGGAACCCCCATAAGAAATGGCAAACTTACACATAAGCTGTTGGGGGTGGATAAACCACCACCAAAGGCCACCATTATCCATTGCAAGGGACACCGAAAGGCTACAGATGCCAAAACCGAGAAAAACCTTTCAACAAATTCGGCAGCCTGGCAGGCAGCCCTTAAAACCCCATCGTTATTGCTCATTTTTTTTCCCAGCATACACCCTGTATATACCCAGCAGGAAAAAAACCCACTTGCCCAGGCTGGTGCCATTCAGGAAAAAATAGTTCGATCTCACTGATAAAGTGTCTTGCCCAAGTTTAAAAAACCTTCTGTACTTTCATATGTGCACAACCATTTCCATGCCGGTTACTGCCCCTACTCCAGCTTTTAAAAACTTCTAGACATTCTTCCACCATGGTTGCCCATCTCAGAGATATTACTAAGGCATGTTCCCTTTGCACTCAAACTTCCCCTCAGGAAGCTATCAAACCATCTCCTTTCCCACACACCAGACCTGAGGACACTTACTAGGGCAGGACTAGCAAATCAACATCACTCACATGCTCCCCAGAAAGTGATTCCTATACATTCTAACAATAGTAGATACATTCTCTGGATGAATAAAAGCTTTTCCTACCACCACCAAAAAGGCACACACCATCGCTTCTATTCTCTCCACCCATATTATCCACCGGTTTAAACTCCCCTCTTGCATCCAGTCAGACAATGGGCCAATTTGTTTCAGTTTAACCAACAGCTGGTAAAGGCTCTAAACATTAAATGGGCTTTCCATATTCCTTACCACTCCGAATCTTCAGGAAAAATTTTATAAAAAACAACAACTAACCAAACTCTCCTTAAAGGTTAAAATGGCCTGGACTTCACTTCTCCCATTGTTCCTCATGCGATTATGAGTCATTTCCTAAAAGCGCTCAGCCTAAGCCCATTTAAATTCATGTACAAATGCTCCATTTATCCTCCAGAATCTCCCTGTATTTTCCCCCCATTCTATATGGAATACTTGGCCGGCGTTACACCTCACCCAACATCTAATAAGACAGTACGCAAATGCTTACTTGACCCAGCCTAAAAGTCCATCCTCAAAACACTCCTCCCTGTCCCTACAACCAGCGGGCTGGGTCTGAATCACAGACTCCTCCTCCCCCGCTCTCCAACCTAAGTGGAGGAATTCTCACCAGGTGATGCTAACTACTCCCACAGCGCCAAAGCTAACATCCTTTGCACACTGAATGCACATTTCAAACTAAAAAGAGCACCAGATCCACATCTAGAAATTTGTTCACCCCCAAATTATTCTCCTTCCCTGACAAGACCAACCTCACTGTACTTAACAAGAATTCCAGAAGTTGCCAATCCAGAACACCTTAGTCCATAACACTCTCTGTCTCCAGTTTCCAATCTTTTGTCTCCTACTTTATTTCAGATCTTTCCTGGTTTCCCTTCCCCATGACCCTGAATAGTCCAGGCCAATTTGTCACACTAATCAAGGAGATATGACTTCAGGGCACCTTCCAAAATTTCACTCCTACTCAAATCTCCTCTTTCTCCTTTTGTCCTCTCTATCTGTGGGATATTCTAAGTCCCCACCCCGAACGTCTAACAGATGAGCCCCCTTCATCAGCCTCACTGCCTCTTAAATCAGTCACACTCCCCTCTTCCTTCCAACTGTTAAATTTGTTTGTCCACACAAATCCAGTAGTTCACAGCCCTTCCTGTTAACCTGGCCACATGAACCCTGTCCAAAATAAACCTGCATTTCACCTAATTGACCAATTCATTCGCAAAACCTGCTTATAATCTTGCTCGGCTAATCACCTTTCCCCCCCCACCAATCCATCAAATCCACCCACACCGTCACACACAGGGCTGTCACCCTCCTTCACCTCATAGCCTCTTAACTAAACATGTTACCAGTCGGATTCCAGAAAATACCTCTTATCAACCCCTCCCCTTTCTGCCGGAGCCGCTCTCCATGTATCCAAGTCAAGGGCGCTCCCTGGAAAATATCCACAAACAATTCCCTCAACTGCAACCTGTATCCTTCTGCGCTGTCAGGACCGCAATGGCTATTAGTTACAAAAACCCATTTCCTGCTCTCTCTCCAAAACCAAACAGCCTTCACCTCCTCCACTACCAACATTTCCTATCAGGCCTTCAGAGGGGCTACCCTTGCTGGCAGGTATTCAACTTGGAAAAACATAAAAGTTAAAACAAAGGGTTTGTGCAGAATTCAACCCCCACCTTCTCATGACTTGCCACCATAACCTACAACTTTTGTCTGTCCACCCCTAGTGTCTTCTTCCTTTGCGGCACAAACTCTTATCTCTGCCTACTGGCCAATTGGTCAGGAACATGCACCCTTGTGTTTCAATCTAAACATTAACACTTTGCCTAACAAGCAGACCATCCAGGTTCCTTTAGTAGCTTCTGTCTCATCTTCCTCCACACACACTAAGCAGGCTGTACATCTCATTCTAGTGTTAGCAGAACTAAACATCTCTGATGCACTCAGCACTGGGATAGCAGGTGGTCCCTTTCTTAGGGCCGTTAATCTTCCTCCTCCTGATAGTACATTTGGCCGATGTATACTCACCTTCATATCCTGCTTTATCTCCCGAAGGCTAAACTCCCCTCTCCAGGCAGCCACCCAGCAACACATTGATACCATCCTTCTCCTCTGCCAAGTCCGGTACCAGTGCCTCCAGGAAAACAACTCTGAAGTCCGTCACCCCCTGCTTCAAAACCCAAACCCTGATTACAGCTCCCCTATTCGGCAGCAAGCAGCCAGATAATCAACAATGCCCCTCTTCCTTTTATACTAAAGTAGAAGGCAAGAATGTGAGTCCAAACCACCATTTAGTAAGCACCCTGCTATTTTGCAGACCTTGATCAAAGTGAAACATTCCACGGGGGTTCGGGCCATGAGAAAAATCTTGCCTAATCGTCGTAACACAAGGCGGACACAGGTCCAACTAAAGAAACTTTCCTATGGTATCTTGCTGGGCAAAGTTCCAAGAAACACCACAATGACATCCCACTGGAAAAAGGACCAAACAGCCTGATCATAAAAACATCTTATCAATATCCTGCCGGGCAGCAAGCCATACTGCCCCGGCCCCTCCCACCCATACCTATAAGCACCCCAGCCTGTAAGCGGCGGTGGGTTCTGGCATTAAGCGGGTCCCCCACTTCCACAGGTGTCTGCAGTATTCCTGTGTTGCTGTTTGAGCCGTCCCTTCTCTGTGTGTCTTTCTTTCACCCTCACCTTCCCTTCAAAACCTAACAATCTTACCTCATCATTTTTTTTGTTATTGGATTCACAGGGGCTCTTCCTCTTCTCCCCATTGGTGCTTGAAGTCGGCTGTTCCATGATTCTGCTTGGTTGTAGAATGTCTATAGTAGGCTCTTGTAGACTGCAGACTTCCACAGCTATATTGAAGCTTGCCAGGAGGATGTCCCAGAGCTCTGGCCCTCCCTATGTATACCTTCCTGGTGGCAAGGCAAAGCCACACTCTTGAGCTTTGTTTGATCATACAGGCAGTGTCCCAGCCAATGGCAGTCCTAGGGTGGCTTAGACATCACAAAGCACCACTGCTGACCACTCCCTGGGCTTGTGGGGGACGGATGACAGGGGTGTAGAGGAAACCAAATGCTGTTGTTGTTTCAGCATCCCCTGAAGATGCATCCCAAACTAATCTGCTGCTGCTCATTTCTCCATGTTTAATGTTCATGGTTCACATGGAAGTGAGAGGATGATTCCTTCAAGCCCTTCCCCACAGTCATTCCTATGAAGTCATTCATTCTTTTGTCTTCCAGCCCTCACCATGACTTAGTATTTTAGATGTCTCACCTCAAATCCCTCCAAGCTAGTGTGGCTACATTTAATTATTGGTGGAGATGTGAATTATCCCATTTCCCTCCTACAGTTCCTTCACATGCACCTTGAAGACCATTTACTTTTAGGCTACTGCCAGGCAAATTTCAACCCATGTTCTTTTACCCAATGTCCATGTAGTTCTTTTAAGTTTCCTATCTCCAATCTGAAATAATGGCCTTCAGTCTGTCAAAACTTTGGTGAATAAACTTTCTTTACCATGTATCCTAGTCTTGTTTCAAATCAGGGGTCTATGTTCATAGTAAATGTAGTATCCCAACATGAATTCTGCCAGTATGTGGGTGGGGGAAGGAGTGGATATTCAAGTGCTGGAAGTTGTTCTGAGTATTTACCTGCAGGATGCTACAATCTAAGACCCACATGTGCACCAGTATGGGCACAGTTATACTTTGTACTGGAGATTGTGTCCAGTGTAAAAGAAAAAAAAATGCATTCAGATTGGAAAGGGAGAAGTAAAAGTATCTTTTGTCAAAGACTACCTGAGAGTATATGTAGAAAAGTCAATCTAAAAAAATGGTTCTACATTAATTGAGGTTAGCAAAATTGCAAAGTAAGAGATCAACACACAAATCAATTGTATGTTTATATATTAGCAGTTACATATGAGAAGTTTCTATATTAGAAGAGACAATGTTTTAGCCAATGGTAGTCCTAGGGTGGACTGGAAGTTAATTTCAACAACTGAAAGTTGAAACTAAGAACAGTGCAATTTAAAATATCACTAAAAATATTAAAGGCTTAGGGATAAATCTGACCAAAGATGTAAATGACTTGTACACTTAAAACTACAAAAATTTACAATGATAAATTAATGACATAAGAAAAAAATTGAGATCTATACTTTGATTTTCGGTTGGAAGATTCAATATTGTAAAATGGCAGTTATTTCCAATTTCATCTGTGGATTCAACTAAATTCTAATCAAAATTCTAAAAAGCCTTTTTAATAGAAATTGACAAGATAATTATAATATTCCTATGGAAATATAAAGTGCCTAGAATAGTCAAAAGAAAAGTGTTGAATCTTAAAAAGCTCTGGATTGCATCACTGTCAATGTTCTAGTTTTGATAGTGTAATGTGGTAGTGTATTGAAGATTTTACTATTGGGAGAGACTGGTTGAAGGGTACAAAAGGCCTCCATGTACGTATCTTTGAAACTTCTTGTGAATTTATAATTGTTTCAAAATAAAAATCTAAAAATATTTTAAAAGACAGTAAGAAAGAGGACTGAAAATAGAGAAGGCATGGCCCAGGATTTCTCCCACAGGTTGACTGACACTTGTCTCATTCTCTATAAGAAGTCACAAAACCTGATAATGAAAAAAAAAATCTAAAAATAAGACAAACGAGAAGTAGACCCTGGAATTTTGTTCCAGTGTTCATCAAGCTCACATAACTTTATTTTATACACCATAAAAACAAGAAAGGCCTAGAAAGATACCCCGCTGACCTCCAGACACAAGGCATTTATTGCATTCTCATGACTGTCATCTAAACATTAACAAATCAAAAGAAGATTCTTATTAAGGTATACATTTTTAGTGAACCCCAGACATTGTCTATAGTTCAACAATTCCATTTATTAAATGCTCACAAGCTAACTTCTAATAATTTTTTGTACTCTTGCCTGCAATCAACAGTGAGAATAACACCCTGTCATATCATGTTATGGAAAACAAAACAAACAGAAAACCAAAAGGCATATGCCACATCAAACACAGTAAGTCAGAAACTGATTACAATTTTTGAAAATAACAGCTTTCAATCATCTTACTACCTTTTAAAATTGTTTTCTAAATTTGTTTACCAAAAATGTTTCAATGGGTATATCACTATCCAAGGAAAATTAATCCAAATGTTAAGAAAACATTTAGTGCATATTTCTATTGAAAGATTACAACGTACTTTATAGAATAACTCCTATTGAAAACTTCAGTAATTATATTTTCAACCCAAATGAATAATAAACAATTAAAGGGAGTGGCTGGCAAGATGGCCAAATAGGAACAGCTCCGGTCTGCAGCTCCCAGCGAGATCAATGCAGAAGGCAGGTGATTTCTGCATTTCCAAGTGAGGTACCTGGCTCATCTCACTGAGACTGGTTAGGCAGTGGGTGCAGGCTACAGAGGGCAAGCCAAAGGAGGGTGGGGTGTCACCTCAGCTGGGAAGTACAAGCGGTCAGGGAACTCCCACCCCTAGCCAATGGAAGCTGTGAGGGACTGTGCTGTGAGGAACAGTGCACTCTGGCTCAGATACTATGCTTTTCACATGGTCTTTGCAATCTGCAGACCAGGAAATTCCCTCGGGTGCCTATGCCACCAGGGCCCTGGGTTTCAAGCACAAAACTGGGCAGCCGTTTGGGCAGACACCAAGCTAGCTGCAGGAGTTTTTTTTTTCATACCCCAGTGGCGCCTGGAATGCTAGCGAGACAGAACCGTTCACTCCCCTGGAAAGGTGGCTGAAGCCAGGGAGCCAAGTAGTCTAGCTCAGCAGATCCCACCTCCATGGAGCTCAGCAAGCGAAGATCCACTGGCTTGAAATTCTCACTGCCAGCACAGCAGTTTGAAGTCGACCTGGGATGCTCCAGCTTGGTGGGCAGAAGGGTGTCCACCATTAAGAGGGTTGAGTAGGTGGCTTTCCCCTCACAGTGTCAACAAAGCTGCAGGGAAGTTTCAACTGGGCGGACCCTACCCCAGCTCGGTAAAGCTGCTGTAGCCAGACTGCCTCTTTAGATTCCTCCTCTCTGAGCAGGGCATCTCTGAAAGAAAGGCAGCAGCCCCAGTCAGGGGCTTATAGATAAAACTCCATGTACCTGGGACCGAGCACTTGGGGGAAGGGGTGGCTGTGGGCGCAGATACAGCGGACTTAAACGTTCCTGCCTACTGGATCTGAAGAGAGCAATGGATCTCCCAGCACAATGCTCGAGCTCTGCTAAGGGACAGACTGCCTCCTCAAGTGGGTCCCTGACCACCATGCCTCCTGACTGGGAGACACCTCCAAGGAGGGATTTATAGACACTTCATACAGGAGAGCTCCGGCTGGCATGTGGTGGGTGCCCCTCTGGAACGAAGCTTCCAGAAGAAGGAAGAGGCGGCAATATTTGCTGTTCTGCAGCCTCTGCTGGTGATACCCAGGCAAACAGGGTCTGGAGTGGACCTCCAGCAAACTCCAGCAGACCTGCAGCACAGGGGCCTGACTGTTAGAAGAAAACAAACAGAAAGGAATAGCATCAACATCAACAAAAAGGACATCCACACAAAAACCCCATCTGAAGGTCACCAACATCAAAGACCAATAATAGATAAATCCATGAAGATGAGGAAAAGCCAGGGCAAAAAAGCTGAAACTTCCAAAAACCAGAACACCTTTTCTTCTCCAAAGGATCACAACTCCCCAGCAAGAGAACAAAACTGGATGGAGAATGAGTTTGACAAATTGACAGAAGTAGGCTTCAGAAGGTGGGTCATAATAAACTCCTCCGAGCTAAAAAAGCATGTTCTAACCCAATGCAAGGAAGCTAAGAACCTTGAAAAAAGGTTAGAGGAATTGACAACTAGAATAATCAGTTTAGAGAAGAACATAAATGACCTGATGGACCTGAAAAACACAGAGCAAGAACTTTGTGAATCATACACAAATATCAATAGCCGAATTGATCAAGCAGAAGAAAGCATATCAGACATTGAAGATTAACTTAATGAAATAAAGTGTGAAGACAAGATTAGAGAAAAAAGAATGAAAAGGAATGAACAAAGCCTCCAAGAAATATGGGACTATGTGAAAAGACCAAACCTACATTTGATTGGTGTACCTAAAAGTGACAGGGAGAATGGAACCAAGTTGGAAAACACTCTCAGGATATTATCCAGCAGAACTTCCACAGCCTAGCAATGTGTCCAGAATTAGTGGGTTCTTGGTCTCGCTGACTTCAAGAATGAAGCTGCAGACCCTCGCGGTGAGTGTTACAGTTTTTAAAGATGGTGTGTCCGGAGTTTGTGCCTTCAGATGTTCAGATGCGTCTGGAGTTTCTTCCTTCTGGTGGGTTCGTGGTCTCGCTGACTTCAGGAGTGAAGCTGCAGACGTTGGTGGCGAGTGTTACAGCTCTTAAAGGCAGCACGTCTGGAGTTGTTCGTTCCTCCCGTCCGGAGTTGTTCATCCCTCCTGGTGGGTTCGTGGTCTCCCTGGCTTTAGGAGTGAAGCTGCAGACCTTCGCAGTGAGTGTTACAGCTCATAAAGGCAGGGTGGACCCAAAGAGTGAGCAGCAGCAAGATTTATTGTGAAGAGCGAAATAACAAAGCTTCCACAGCGTGGAAGGGGACCTGAGTGGGTTGCCACTGCTGACTGGGGCAGCCTGCTTTTATTCCCTTATCTGGCCCCACCCACATCCTGCTGATTGGTCCATTTTACAGAGAGCTGATTGGTCCGTTTTGACAGGGTGCTGATTGGTGCATTTACAAACCTTTAGCTAGACACAAAAGTTCTCCAAGTCCCCACTAGATTAGCTAGACACAGAGCACTGATTGGTGCATTTACAATCACCACAAAAGTCCCCACTAGATGAGCTAGACACAGAGCACTGATTTGTGCGTTTACAAACCTTGAGCTAGACACAGGGTGCTGATTGGTGTGTTTACAAACCTTGAGCTAGACACAGAGTGCTGATTGGTGCATTTACAATCCTTCAGCTAGACATAAAAGTTCTCCAAGTCCCCACTAGATTAGCTAGACACAGAGCACTGATTGATGTGTTTACAAACCTTGAGCTAGACACAGAGTGCTGATTGGTGCTTTTACAATCCTTTAGCTAGACATAAAAGTTCTCCAAGTCCCCACCAGATTAGCTAGATACAGAGTGCTGATTGGTGCATCCACAAACCCCAAGCTAGACACAGAGTGCTGATTGGTGCATATACAATTCTCCAGCTAGACATAAAACTCCTCCAAGTCCCCACCTGACTCAGGAGCCCCGCTGGCTTCACCTAGTGGATCCCACGCTAGGGCCGTGGGCAGAGCTGCCCGCCAGTCCCACACCATGCACCCGCACTCCTCAGCCCTTGGGCAGTGGATGTGACCAGGTGCCGCGGAGCAGGGGGTGGTGCCCGTTGGGGAGGCTCTGGCCATGCGGGAGTCCATGGGGTGGGTGGGGGGAGGCTCGGGCATGGTGGGCTGCAGGTCCCAAGTCCTGCCCCGCAGGGAGGTGGCTGAGGCCTGGTGAGAATTTGAGCGTGGTGCGGGCCGGCAGTGCTGGGGGACCTGGTGCACCCTCCACAGCTGCTGGCCCAGGTACTACACCCCTCACTGCCCGGGGCCGATCCAAGTGCAGGGCCTGCCGAGCCTGCACCCACCTGGAACTTGCGCTGGCCCGCGAGTGCCATGTGCAGCCCTGGTTCCTACCCGCGCCTCTCCCTCCACACCTACCCACAAGCAGAGGGAGCCGGCTCTGGCCTCGGCCAGCCCAGAGAGGGGCTCCCACAGTGCAGCCGTGGGCTGAAGGGCTCCTCAAGCATGGCCAGAGTGGGCGCCGAGGCTGAGGAGGTGTCGAGAGCGAGTGAGGGCTGCCAGCATGCTGTCACCTCTCAGCAAGATGGGCCAGCATTCAAATTCTGGAAATACAGAGAACACCACAAAGATAGTCCTCAAGAAGAGCAACCCTGAGACACATAATCAACAGATTCACCAAGGTAGAATTTAAGGAAAAAAATGTTATGGGCAGCCAGAGAGAAAGATGGGGTTACCCACAAAGGGAAGCCCATCAGACTAATAGTGGATCTCCCTTCAGAAATCCTACAAGCCAGAAGAGAGTGGGGGCCAATATTCAACATTCTTAAAGAAAAGAATTTTCAACCCAGAATTTCATATCCAGCCAAGCTAAGCTTCATAAGTGAAGGAGAAATGAAATTCTTTACAGATAAGCAAAGGCTGAGAGAGTTTGTCACCACCAGGCCTGCCTTACAAGAGCTCTTGAAGGAAGCACTACATATGGAAAGGAAAAACTGGTACCAGCCACTGCAAAAACATACCAAATTGTAAAGTCCATTAGCACTATGAAGAAACTGCATCAACTAACGGTCAAAGTAACCAGCAAGCATCATAATGACGGGATCAAATTCACACATAACAATATTAACCTTAAATATAAATGGGCTAAATGAACCAATTAAAAGACACAGACTGGCAAATTGGATAAAGAGTCAAGACCCATCAGTGTGCTGTATTCAGTAGACCCATCTCACGTGCAAAGACACACATAGGCTGAAAATGAAGGGATGGAGGAATATTTACCAAGCAAATGGAAAGCAGAAAAAAAAAACAGGGGTTGCAATCCTAGTCTCTGATAACACAGACTATAAACCAACAAAGACAAAAAAAAGACAAAGAAGGGCATTACATAATGGTCAAGGGATCAATGGAACAAGAAGGACTAACTATCCTAATTATATATGCACTTGATACAGGAGCACCCAGATTCATAAAGCAAGTTCTTAGAGATCTACAAAGAGACTTAGACTCCTAAACAATAGTAGAGGGGGACTTTAACACCCCACTGTCAATATTAGACAGATCAATGAGACAGAAAATTAACAAGGATATTCAGGACTTGAACTCAGCTCTGGACCAAGCATATCTAATAGTCATCTACAGAACTCTCCACCCCAAATCAACAGAATATACATTCTTCTCAGCACCACATCACACGTATTCTAAAATCGACCATAAAATTGGAAGTAAAACATTCCTCAGCAAATGCAAAAGAACAGAAATCAAAACAAACCATCTCTCAGACTACAGTGCAATCAAATTAGAACTCATGATTAAGAAACTCACTCAAAACCGCACAACTACATGGAAACTGAACAACCTTCTCCTAAATGATTACTGGGTAAATAACGAAATGAAGGCAGAAATAAATAAGTTATTTGAAACCAATGAGAACAAAGACACTACCGGTAGCAGGATCCTGGGGACACAGCTAAAGCAGTGTTTAGAGGGAAATTTACAGCACTAAATGCCCACAGGAGAAAGCAGGAAAGATCTAAAATTGACACCCTAACATCACAATTAAAAGAACTAGAGAAGCAAGAGCAAACATATTCAAAATCTAGCAGAAGAGAAGAAATAACTAAGATCAGAGCAGAATTGAAGGAGATAGAGACATGAAAATCCCTTCAAAAAATCAAGGGATCCAGGAGCTGGTTTTTTGAAAAGATTAACAAACTAGGTAGACCACTAGCCAGACTAATAAAGAAGAAAAGAGAAGAATCAAATAGACGCAATAAAAAGTGATAAAGGGAATATCACCACTGATCCCCCAGAAATACAAACTAACATCAGAGAATACTATAAACACCTCTATGCAAACAAACTAGAAAATCTAGAAGAAATGGTTAAAGTCCTAGACACATACACCCTCCCAAGATGAAACCAGGAAGAAGTCGAATCCTTGAATAGACCAATAACAAGTTCTGAAATTGAGGCAGTAATTAATAGCCTACCAAGCAAAAAAAGCCTAAGACCAGACAGATTCACAGCCGAATTCTACCAGAGATACAAAGAGGAGCTGGTACCATTCCTTCTGAAACTATTCCAAACAATAGAAAAAGAGGGACTTCTCCCTAACACATTTTATGAGTCCAGCATCATCCTGTTACCAAAACTTGGCAGAGACACAATTAAAAAGGAAAATTTCAGGCCAATATCCCTGATAAACATTGATGTGAAAATTCTCAATAAAATATCGGCAAACTGATTCCAGCAGCACATTAAAAAGCTTATCCACCACGGTCAAGTCAGCCTCATCCCTGGGATGCAAGGCTGGTTCAACATACTCAAATCAATGAACGTAGTTCATCACATAAAGAGAACCAATGACAAAAACCACATGATGATCTCAATAGATGCAGAAAAGGCCTTCAATAAAATTCAACACCCCTTCATGCTAAAAACTCTCAATAAACTAGGTATTGATAGAACGTATCTCAAAAAATCAGAAGCTGAAAATGATCATTCTCAGAAAACTAACACAGGAATAGAAAACCAAGCACCGCATGTTCTCACTCATAAGTGGGAGTTGAACAATGAGAACACATGGACACAGAGAGGGGAACAACACACACTGGGGCCTGTTGAGGGGTGGAGGGTGAGGGGAGGGAACTTAGAAGATGGGTCAATAGGTGCAGCAGCACCATGGCACACATATATCTGTGTAACAAACCTGCATGTTCTGCATATGTATCCCAAAACTTAAAGTAAAATTTAAAAAAAAAGAAAAAAACTAAATGCTGCTAATTTTTGTACATTGCTTTTGTAACCTGAAACTTTACCAAAGTCATTTATTAGGTCTAGGGGACTTTTGGCAGAATCTTTAGCAATTTTGTGGTATAGAATCCTATTGTTAGTGAAGAGACACACACATGCTGAGTTACGGTAAGACAGTGCATTACTGATGGGCATTTGAATTGTAAATTGTTATACATTTCTGGAAATTATTGTGACAGTATTCATTAAGGCCATTAAAAGAAGTCATATTCTTTGATTTAGTAGTCATCTAGCAATATAAAGAAAATAAGTAAATATGTGGAAAAAATGGATGTACACAATTATCAGAATAATTCAAATAATTAAAAGTAGTAAACCATCTAATTATTGAACAATACACTGATTAATTACATTATTATCCATTCATATGAGGTCTTGTGTAAACACTAAAATTTATATATTTTGTGAACCCTAGAAAAACCATTTGTCATATTTTATGACAATCACAAAATAAAGAAAAATATACATGAACATTTTAATAAATGCAGAAAGCATCCTTTTTGAAGAATGCTTAGTAACATGAGAAATTCTATCTGCGGTGAACAGGCTGTAAGGTGGTCCCTCATGATCCCTTCCTCCTGGAGTTTACGCCTTTGTATAATCTTTCCCCTTGAGTATGGTTAGTAACTATGGCTTTCATATAATCAATAAAATACAGCACATGTGACAGAATATCTTTATTGTGATAATGCTCCACAGTTCATAGCACCAATCTTACTAGAGGACATAAATTCCCTTTCTGGATTTGATAAAGCAAATTGACATGAGATTTTCCTATAGAGAAAGCCACATGGCAAAAAAGTGAAGGGTATCTTCAGCAGATGGCCATTGAGAAATTTTGGCCCTTAGTCTGATAGCCTGCAAAAAATGGAATGCTGCCAGCAACCACTGGAGCTTGAGAGGAAATTCTCCTCTGGTTGAGCCTCAGATAAGACCACACCATTGGCTAACATCTTGACTGCAGCTTTGTGAGATGCTGAAAGAGAGGATCCAGTTAAGCTGTTATCAAACTCCCGATCCCTAAAAACTGTGTGATGATAAGTATGTATTCTTTCAATCAACTAAGTTTGTGCTGACATTTTTAAGTGGCAATAGATAACTGATATATTACAAAATACTAAGTGAAAAAGCAGGATGAAAACAGTGTATTGTGCCTGTATTTCTTCTCAATAACAGCCCCCAAATCTCAATGACTTACAAAAAACATCTACTTTGAAATTGCATTACATGTTATAAGTTTCAGGGCACTGGTAGCTACTGTGACTCTGCTTAGTTTTCCTTACTTCTGATTTAGTTCCATATATGTTCTGATTCCGGGACCTTGGCTAAAGGAACAGCCCCTGTGTTAGGCGTTCCTATTCTTGTCCTAAAAAGGAAGAGCGTGAACTATGAGCTTAATCTGAACCACACAGTAACATTTAAAGCTTCTGCTCAGATGGGACTTACGTTACATCAGTTTGTTATGGTTATAGGATTGGAATCCCATTTCTCAGCTGGAGTATCAGGCTCATCTCCTACAGGCTTCTCACAGTCCCTTGTTATGGGCCTTCTTGTAGGTCTGGTCTCAACAGTGAGCAGCAGGATTTCTCACATTGAATCTCCCTCATGATTCAAATCTCTCTGTCTTCCACTTCTATGAGCAGCCAGAGAAACTCAGTGCTTTTAAAGGGTTCACCTGATCAGGTCAGGTCCACTCAGATAATCTCCATCTATTGAAGTCAATTTACTTGAAACTTGAATTGTATGTGTAGAAACCCATCATAGTAGTACCTCAGTTCATGTTTGATTGAATAACCAGTGATGAGAATCTTGGGGAGGGAAGGCACCTTTAGAATTCTGCCCACCACACTTATGTGTTACTTTTGTTATCAGAAAAAAAAACACATTTAAAAGATTCGAAAATACACTGCCAATTAAAACTGAGAGGAAGCAGGGAACAAACATTCACTTTGGAATCAGACAAAGCCATTTTCAAATCATGTTTTATTCACCTACCTATGTGCACTTTGGATAACTTATTTGACATGTGGGTACAGTAATAATGAACTCATTTGGTTGTTTTGGATACTACGTGGGATGATGTTTGTAACATGCCTAGCATAGCTCCTAACTCTCCAATTGAAGGCTTCCCAGTATTGGAAGCTCAGATCTTGATTTTACAGTAAATTTTACATCAAATAAATTCCTGATGGTGACTGTGCAAGTAAAGAAAGTCAATAAAAGATTAGATAAGTAGACAGATCGATATATTTATATGGTAAATATATACTTAAGATATATTTGCGACTTGATACAACCTGTTTATTAAGATATTATAATTAAAATTATTATAGAAAGTGCAGGATTCCATCTGTATCACATGTGTTTTTCTTATTCTTGGCAAGGAGGTTGAGTGTAAAAAGAATATGAGATGTTTCTTTACTCAGGCTATGCGTAGTTTTTCTTCACAGTGCCTTGTAGCATGTGCCAAAAGAGATGATGAGAAACCAGGTCTGAAATAAAACCCATTTTTTTCATAAAGAATTACAATTCATCTTTATTTCATTTCCAAGACCATTGCCTTGGTGTTTTAAAATAAATTTTACTTGGAAGATGAGCAATAATCACGGAAGGAAAGGCAATGAAATATCTAATCAATGCCACTGATACACGGCTGTCTAACTGGCAAATGCAAAGCTAGAAAAACAGTCTAAAATGTCAGTTCCATATTATGTATCCACGGTAATAACTTTCATATCACCAAAATGAAATAGCACCACAAATTAGAAACTTATCACAGTACATATGGAAGGGTCCTGAGAAATATTCAAATTTAATGTCATCATTTCTCAGATGAGGAAACTGAGATGTGGAGAGCAGAAGGTGTCTGCTCAGTACTTCACATCAAGTTCTTCTCTTGAGTTCTTTTTAGAGCAGTGGGGTAAATAGAAACCTTGTCATCTTTAGCAAGGTAATGACTGGCTCATCATTTCTTTGTTAACAAGATACTTGTCTACTTAGAACATTTCTTCCTCATAGTAATTTATGACCAGCTAGGTTGGGCATATGGTCAAATACAAGAAATGCATATTCAATGAGTTTATTTTCTTCTTTCTGTTCTCCTTTCTTTATTCTATGTTCATAAGGTCTGCCCATACCCCACCCAAATAGAATGCCAGTAAGCACATGTTTTATTCTGCACCTCTTCTCTCTTACCTGAATCTCAGGAAGGGTCATGATATACTCATTCACATTGAGATGTTTTCAATTGATAAGGCCTAAGAAATCAGTTTTTCTAGACATGTCTATGTGTTCATAGAAGACAAAGGAATGCACTTTATAATTGGAGAATCATCAGGTATCAATTAGCTCAACTGGGAGAGGAGGATTTATTCAAAGTGGAATGGGTTTTTAGACTAGTACAAATCATGGGCTGGAAATCACAGGAAAACACCATCTTTTCAAGCCCACTGCTAAAGCCTGTTGATATTTGGCAGGCTATAAATCTATGATTTGTATAACCCAAGGCTTTGCCAGAGGGCGATTCTCTGGCAATGTTTCCTTCCGGACACATGCAAATTACCTCACAGGAGTTGTTACACTGCCAGTTATTTTGGATGAAGACATAGCCATAAAATGGAAAAAGACCATGTGGAGAGAGGAGTGCTCCTCATCAGATGGAAGTGCCCTAAAAAGGTTATGCCATAGTTGGATCAATGCTGACATGTCTCAGATATAAAGAGGATGAAAAAGTGAGAAGAAAGCTTACCTTTTTTTTCATTACATATACCCTTTGGACAGTATATCCCCATTCTTTCTTACTTTCAAGGTCCATATTAAGTCCCATTTACATCAGAGTTCTCATAAACTTCTCAGAGTTAACATGTTCAGTTAGGAGCAAGAGCCAGTAGTATATTGAGGACTTGAGACGGCTATAGAGTGTCTTTTGCCCAGCATGACAGTAGCCATAGCAGTGACCTGCAAGGTAGCATGGTCTGTCCCAAGAAATATAGTGCGAGCTGAGTGACCAAATACAAAAAGCATGGATTGAAAGAAGTTATATTTCCACTTAGGATGTAGAAAGCTGCAAGAGTGTGTTGCTTCTATCCTAACAATAATAAAAAAACAGCTAATTTACAAAACCATAACTATTTCTGAGTTGCTCCGTTTGCAAAGGTTTCAAAGCAACCAGATGAACTAAATTCCAAAGAATGACAAGCCCCTTTGCCTTTGAAGAGAGGCAAAGAACATACACTATTTTATCTTTTAGAGAGCATGGGAGAAAGGGGTGGCCCACAAAAAGCAGGTAAATAGAAAATAACTTGAATTTTAATTGATTCTTAAAAATCTACTGTGGGCTACTAATTAATCTAGAGCACTTGAAAGACTCAGACAAAATGAGAGTCTGTCCTCACTCATAATATGTTTTTTCCTGGGCCTTCACTAGCTGCTCATAAGAAAAGTTGAAAGCAGTAAGACCTAACAGGATGCCCTTTATCTGTGTTGCAGGCAAATAGGTGGTGATAAGCTGCCACTGGGAGAGAGGCAGAAAATCTTGCCTACTTTCCTGGACTTTGTTCACATCCCAATCATAAGCCACCTGCTACAGGAAGAAGGGGAGGAAATCCTACTGTCCCAGGACAAAGTCCTGTGATTTCTGGAAGAAAGGTAGACACAAGTTTCATCTGCCTTTGGGAAAAGAGTAGAAAACATTCTCAATCCTAGGAGATTAGCTACCACTGGAAAAGGGGCAGAAAACTTTCTTCCATCCAATACACTGACTGATATGACAGAAAGATAGAGATTGACTGTCACCAGTAAAGAAGGCAGGAGCACTATGAAATCCCCATCTCTGAGGCTCATGTGCACAGTGTTAAAAACTGAGGATGCAATTGAAGAATGAGGACCTCCCCTGCCAACAGCACAAGCCTCTTACTGAGTAACAAGGAAAAGCAGTCTACTGCTGAGACAATGCAAGCATGCGGAGAGAGAACACTCTGTTGCACAGGCATACGAGGCTTGCCAAAAGCTGAGGGTGGAACAGGAATACCAAGAAAATCCTTCAAGCATTTTGAGCTCAGCTACTGACTAGATTGACTCAACACCATGTATTAACAACAGCCTGACAAAAGAAATGGAATACACATTTCTGGGCAAAAATACTACTACCTAATTAAGGAAATACAAATTAAAACAACCTCAATTATATATCAGCAATATGTACTAGAATGGTTACAAATAAAAGACCTGGCAATAACAAATGCTTGTATGGATGCAAAGTGAAGAGATCTCTCATAGATTGCTGGTGGGGATGCAGAATGGACAACCACTTTAGAACACAGTTTTGCATTTTCTTATAAAGTTAAATATAGTCTTAACACATGGCCCAACAGCAATTCCACTCCCTGGTAAAGAAAATTAAAATTTGTATTTACACAAAAACCTCTATATGAATGGTGGGAGTGAATGTATTCATAATCACCAAAAACTGGAAGAGGCCATTTTCATCAGTTGGGGAAAGGATAAGCAAAATGTGGTATATTCATTCATACAATGCAAAAATACTCTATATTGAAAGTGATAAATGACTGGTGAACTCAACAACATAAATATATCTTATAAAAATTATGCTACATGAAAGAAGTTAAAAAGACTACATAATGTATTATTCAATGTATATAAAATTAAAGGAAAAGCAAAATAAGATCAGTAATGTCAGAAAATTGGAAAAATAGGAGTTCTTGCGCTTTACTCCCCAGCACAGAAATTCAACTATCAACTACCCACAGGCAAGAATCCCATCCCAAATATCCCAGAATGTGGCAATGAGACTGAGCCACTTGGATGCAAAACTGAGAAAAGCCACAATGAAATTATAAGAGAAATAGTTATTTTTGATCAGACTGCCCCTCTTCCTAGCTAGCACAGCACCACACAAAAAGAACTTGCCTGGTCCTATGGTTTCTACAGTGGGAAAAGTGAGTTGGAGGTGCCCATGAAGCTTCGCTACCATGCTGAGGCCCTTCAAAGGAGGGTCACTCATGTCTCAACCCACAAGCAACATTAGGAGTACCAGCAGTGCTAGATCACCCGGGTTCAGTTAGAAATAAAGAATGCCGGTGAGACACACAGTTACCAGTGTGTGGATCCAGATGATTGCTATGCCTTCTGGCCAAGAAAAGCACCACACTAGAGAAGCTAACCAACAGCATCATGCTGCTGGAAACGTGGTCCATTGGTCTTACAGGTTTGAATCCCTAGCGAGGTTCTCCACACAACCTAGGTGCTCTTGATAAGTATTCCTCAGGTTGAGAGGCAAGTGTACGTTGGCGATTACCCATAGAGGGAGCATCTGGACCCCACTCAACCCTAGTAGTGAAGAGGTAATCTAAGCTCCGAGGCTCATGTTAATTCTTCCCCAGGTTAGAAAGCATTTGCAGGTCAGTGATTACATGTGCGGTGAGCATGCGACCATGTTTAATCTTAGCAGTGAATAGGTAATCCAACCAAGTTCCAATGCTTACATTCAATCTTTTTCAGACTGGGAAGCAACTGAAGGTCAGCAATCACCCACAGAGAAAGCATCTGGCTTCACCCAACCCCAGCTGCAGAGTGGTGACTTCACCAAATTTCAGTGCTATACTGAAGCCTACCCTAGGCCAGGAGGCAAGCCCAAGTCTAAACATATCCACGGACCACAGCCTCTGGGTTTTCCCACCCCATGTGGCTGAGTAGTAACCCCAAAGACTTCAACCAGTCTTGAAGTCCACCACACATACCTGCTCAGCTACAGATTCCAAATAACAGTACCATTGAGCCAGGGATGACGGCCTTCAACCTTACCTGATCAGAGAAAATTACAGATCACTGGCAATAACATCATTTGGTGGCAGAGTATAGTCACTGATTTCACCAGACCATGGAATACAGCCAGCATTACCATTCAACCTCAGACCATAGGAGGTGGTCCAGCCCATCTAGAGAATCTGACACGAAGGTCTGCCTGTTAGGCATTACTGCCAACTCATACAGAAACCCAGGACAGACTAAATAGTAAATATCTATCACCACCAACGGGCACCCGCAAAGGCTGGAAGAGTCAGCCGTTTTCTCAAATGTGCAGGCTTCAACATAAGGACACAATAATAATGAAAAATCAGGGAAATATCACACCACCAAAACAAATTAATAAAGCTCTAAAAATGGACCCAGGAGCAATGAAGATTTATTAGATGATTGACGAAGAATTCAGAATAATCTTAAGGAAGTTCATGGAACTATAAAAAGTAATGGTAGAAAACTAAAAAAAAATTTGGAAAACAATTCATGAACAAAATGAAAAGTTTGGCAACATATTAGAAACAATAAAAAATACAAATAGAAATCCTAACGATAACGAATACAGTAGCTGAACTAAAAAAATATCAATAGAAAGCTTGAACAGCAGACTTGATCAAACAGAAGAAGAATCAATGAGCTTGAAAACAGAACATCTGAAATTATTCAATCAGAGGAGAAACACAATATAATAATAAAGAAAGCCTATGGGAATTATGAGATACTATCAGTTGAACTGCCTTTTGCATAATAAGAGGTATTGAAGGAGAAGAAAAGGCCTAGAAAGGATATTTAAGTATATAATGGCTGAAAATTTCCCAAATCTGGGGAATGATGACAGCATCCAGGTACAGGAAGCTCAGATGTCACCAATCAAATTTAGCCCAAAAGATGCACCAAGTGGCATTATAATCAAATTACCA
This sequence comes from Homo sapiens, assembly GCF_000001405.40. Taxonomy (NCBI): domain Eukaryota; kingdom Metazoa; phylum Chordata; class Mammalia; order Primates; family Hominidae; genus Homo; species Homo sapiens. Next base: position 22,325 of record NW_025791819.1, read on the forward strand.
AAAATCAAAGGTGAAGAACACTGAAATTAGCAGCAGATAAAAAACACATCACATTTAAAGTAACCCCAATAAAACTTTCAGGGAATTTATCAGCAGATAATTCCCAGGAGTTAGTAGAGCGATATATCCAAAGTGCTGAAGGGAACAAAAGAAGGAACTGCCCACCAGGAATACTTTGCAGACACAGCTGTCATTCAGAAATGAGGATAAAATTAAAACTTTCCCAGACAAACAAAAGTGAAGAAAGTTTGTCACCAGTAGGCCCCCTTGATTAAAATTACTAAAGGGAGTTATTTAATCTAAATGAAAGGCTGCTAATTAGTGACAAAAGCATTTGAAAAAATTCATTGATGTAAGTAATACATAGTTACACTCAAAATTCTCTAATTCTAAAAGCAATTTTATCCCTACTAGGAGGATTAAAAGAAAAACCTAAAAGTAACTACTATAGCTACAGTAAATTGTTAAGACATACAAATTACAAAAGTAAGTGTAAATGTTGACATCATGTTATAAAAGGTTAGAGAGGTAGTGAAAATGTGAAGTTTTGTGTGCAATTAAAGGAAAGTTATTATCAGCTTAAAGTAGCCTGTTATAAACACATGAACACATAGAGTGCAAGAATACACACAGGGTCTTTCGTAGGGTGGAGGGTAGGAGGAGGGAGAGGATCAGGAAATATAACTAATGGGTACTAGGCTTAATACCAGTGATAAAATAATCTGAACAACAAACCCCATGACACAAACCTGATCATGTAGCCCTGAACTTAAACGTTAAAAATATATTTTATGTAAGCCTTATGGTAACTACAAAGGAAAAACCTATAGTAGTTGCACAAAATACAAAAAGAAAGCATTCAAAGAATACAGAAATTTATTAAGCCACAGGGAAGAGAGCAAGAGAGGAAGAAAGAAATAAGTGACCTACAAAACAATCAGAAAACAAATTATAAAATTTCTGTAGCAAGTCCTCACCTAACAATAATTACCTTGAATGCAAATGAATTACATTTGCCTATAAAAAGACATAGGACCAGAAATACCATTTGACCCAGCAATCCCACTACTGTGTATATACCCAAAGGAATATAAGTCATTCTGATCTAAAGATACATGCACACTTATGTTCATTGCAGCACTATTCACAATAGCAAAGACACGGAATAAACACAAATGTCCATGAATGATAGACTGGATAAAGAAAATGTGGTACATATACACCATGGAATACTATGCAGCCATAAAAAGGAATAATATCATTTCCTTTGCAGGAGGATGGGGAGAGCTGGAAGCCATTATCATCAGCAAACTAACACAGGAACAGAAAACCAAACACCACATGTTCTCACCTATAAGTGGGAGCTGAACTGAGAACACATGGACACAGGAAGGGAAACAACACACAGTGGGGCCTGTTGGAGGGGTGGCAAGAGGGAGAGCATCAGGATAAATAGCTAATGCATGTGGGTCTGAATACCTAGGTGATGGGTTGATAGGTGCAGCAAACCACCATGACACATGTTTACCTGTGTAACCTGCACGTTGTGCACATGAACACAGAACTTAACATAAAATTTAAAAAAAGAATAAAATAAAAGAGAACATGACTTTGGCATTTTACAAAAGGCAAAAGAAGACATAAAAGTGCCTGAATAAATTTTTTGAAAAACTAGATCCAACCATATTCTGCTTATTTACCTTTGTAGTAGAACACACATAGACTGAAATTAAAGGGATTGATATATTCCATGCAAATAGAAACCAGAAAAGAGTCACTATGTTTATATCAGACAAAATAGACTTTAAGTTGAAAACTATAAAAAGAGACAAAGAAGGTCATTATGTAATGATAAAGCGGCTAATTCATCAAGAGTACATAGCAATTGTAAGTATATCTACATCGAATATTGGATCACCTAAATACATATAGCAGTTATTAAATGATCAGAAAGGAGAGATAGCCTGCAATACTATAACGGTAGGAGACTACAATACCCCACTTTTAGGTCATCTAGACAGAAAAGTAATAATTAAACATTTGTCTTGAGTTATATGTTAGACAAAATGGACCTAACAGACACATATAGAACATTCCATCCAACAGTAGCAGAATACATATTATTCTGAAGTGCTCATTGGATATTCTCCAGGGTAAATTATATGTTAGGCAACAAAACAAATATTAAAAAATTTAAAGATGGAAATCACATCAAGTATCTTTTCAGATCACAATGAAATGAAACTAGAACTCAAAACCAGAAGAAATATTGGAAAATAGAAAAATATGGCAAATTGAACGACATGTTCCTACACAATCAATAGGTCACAGACAAAATGAAAATGGAAACTAGACAATTCTGTGAAACATGAAAATGGAAACACATTGCACCGTAACTATGGGATACAGCAAAAGCTAAAGCTATCTTAAGAGGGAAATTTATAGTGATAAAAGCCTGTATTAACAAATAAAGATCATAAGTAATCTAATGTTACACCTCAAAGAGTTGGAAAAGAGACTAAATTAAGCCTAGTGTTAGCAGAAGGAAGCAATTTACAAAGATCAGAGCAGACAGTAGAGACTAGAAAAACAATAGAAAAAAACAACAAAACTGTTAGTTTTTTTGGGGAAGGTAAAAAGATAAAAGATAAAGGTTTGTATAAACCTTCATCTAGACTAGGAGAAACAGAGACTATCCAAATAAACATGATTAGAAATGTAAGTGGAGACATTACAACTGATGCCACTGAAATACAAAGGATCATAAGAAACTAATACTAACAATTATATACCAACAAATTGAATAACCTTGAAGAAATCGATAAATTCCTAGACCCATAACACTTCAAAGACTGAATTATGGAGAAATAAAAAAAATCTGAATAAACCAATAATGAGTAAGGAGATTGAATCAGCCATAAAAATCTCCTACCAAAGAAGCACAGTACTACACAGCTTCATTGCTGGATTCTACCAACCATTTAAAGAAGAACTAACATCAATTATTCTCAAACTCTTCCCCCAAAATTGAAGTAGAAGTAATTTTTGCAAACTCATTTTAGGAGGCTGGCATTGCCATGACGCCGAAGCCAGACAAAGACACTACAGAAAAAAAAATGTGTATCATGTTATCACAATTTTAATGAGACTAGTTTTATAATAGCAAATCATGTCACTGCACTTGGTTCCTTGAACTTTTGATCAGAAAAGCATAGTATAAATTTAACACTTAAATAAATGTCATGCTTAATGTGCTGGAACTCTTCCAAGGTCAAATTAAATAGCAACTATTGGCAGAAAGTCTACAATCCCCAGACTATGCAGATGTGGCTTGTAGACAATGTTCAAAACTACTCAATATAGTTGATATTTAATAATGATTTTTATGTGAATCCATGTACAAATGTTATCAGATCTGAACCTATTAGAATGAAAGTCTTACTATAGAGAAAGAGTCATCTAAATTTTAAGAGTGTCACCTTACTTTAGAATAACCAAATACTTTAAGTGTCCAGGGCACATTCATTGTCTCTTTTATTTAACTGTGAGGAAGAAATATGTTTGCAAGTTACCTGAAGACAAGGGAAAATTTCATTTAAATCAGTTACTTCTTATTAATAAAAATAGTCCTATGAACAAGAGGTCAAATGTTTGTCTCTCTGGTATATATGATGCAGACTAAACTGAAAATAGGTTAAGTAGAAATGCCTGAGTATTTCCATAGAAGTAAATGTATACACATATCTATATATAGAAAATCCAACTGTTCTGAAGATAAAAATCTGTAGTGCACAGAATAAAGAGTGCCTTTTTTTTTCAAAGTATTTTTTTCAAACACAATAAAGCATTGTTAAATCAGACCCATTAGAGAGACAGTCTAAATTGGTGAAAAGTCTTCAGTATTTAGAATTTGTTTATATAAATTTCTTGCTGTAATTAATTTAAATAATAGTAAAGCATAGTTTAACAGAACATTTAATGAGTTTCATTTTAATTAATATATAATAATAATTTGTAACTGACTCATTGTTTGTATTCAAGTTGATTTTGCTAAAGTCCTTGGAAGCATTTATTCCTCTAAGCAGTTTACTATCACTTAATATTTTTCTTTAACATTATAAATAAGATTGCATTTTTCTGCATACAGAGCCTAAAAAGAGAGTTAAGTCCACGATGTATTAAATTATTATAAAATTAAATAATTAAGACTTGAGTGACTTTAATAAAAAATACCTTCATAATGTATTGATTACATGCAAGCAAGGCAAAACTTCGGAAGTATTGGAAAATAATAAAAAAGAACTAGACATCTAGCAAATATATTGTGCTAGACAGTACCAACATAACTGGTTTATTTGAACAAATTAGCATATTTTGTTAAAAGAAAACAAAAAACTCTCAAGTTGTTTGACAGAATTAACTCATCATTTTTCTTTTTTCTAGCTGGCTGATCCCATACTCTCAAGGTAGCTGAAATATATTTGGTTTCTTAAAATTTATGTTTATTTGAACCAATAGATTTTTTTAAAATGGGATGATGTGATTGTCTTTAAAAAGATATTTTGAAAGCCCAGATTATTCATCAGTTCTCAAGAAATTATGTAGGTCATTTTGTGTGTTGCAGACAAATTTTTTCGCTAGCTTTATTGAGCAGTGGTTGACAAAATTGGTATCTCTTTAAGACATAAACGATGATGATTATATATATGTATATATTGTGAAATGATTACCACAATCAAGTTAGCTAACACATCCATTGCCTCACATACTTACCATTTTGTGTGTGTGTGTGTGTGTGTGTGTGGTGAAAACATTTAGTGTCGACTCTCTAGACAAATCTCAAGTATATAATGCAGTATTATTGACTATAGTAACCATGCTATAAATTAGACCCCCAGAACTCATTCATCTCACATTTGAAAGTTTGTACATGTTGACCAAACTTTCTCCCTGTTCCCCCAACCCATATCCCCTGCGAACCACCATTCTACTCTCTGTTTTCATGAGTTTGACATTTTTAGTTTCTACATATAAGGTCACATAGTATTTGTCATTCTCTATCTGATTTATTTCACTTACAATAATGCTCTCAAGATTCATCCATGTTGATGCAAAAGGCAGGATTTCATTCTTTTTCATAGCTGAATGATATTTCACTGTGTAGATATACCACATTTCCTCTGTCCATTTATCCATGGATGGACATTCAGTTTGTTTTTCTATCTTGGCTAGTGTGAATAATGCTACAATAAACATGGGAATGCAGATATGTCTTCAATATACTGATTTCCTTTCTTTCATATATATACCCGTAAGTGTGATTTCTAGATAATATGGTAGTTATATTTTTAATTTTTTGAGTAATCGTCATACTGTTTTCCGTAACAGCTATACCAATTTACATTCCCACCAACAGTGTGCAAAAGTTCCCTTTATACCCTCACAAACACTTTTTATCTCTTGTCTTTTTCATATAGTCCTCCTTACAGGTGTGAGGTGGTTTTGATTTTCATTTCCATGATGATTAGTGATGTTGAACATCTTTTCATATACCTATTGGTCTTATGCATGTCTTTTTGGAAACATATCTATTTGGGCTCTTTGCTTATTTTTAGACAAGATCATTTGTTTATCTATTTGGTATTAGGTTGTATAACTTCCTTATCTATTTTTGGATAGTAATCCCTAGGGCAAAATTTTTCAGATCTTGAAACTTCAAGAACATAAGGCTGCTAAGAATATAAAGAAGCAGTATATATACATACATGTAATAATTAGAGAAAAATACAGAGTAGCCTTAATCCATTCATTATTTTATTCATCTATTCAACTAACATGTTTCAAGTGCCTATTGTAACAAGTTCTAAATTGTAAAAATGCATAAGGAAATTATTTGTTATCTAAGAGCACTCAGTCTAGTGGAGAAGGCAGACTTATGAAGAGATAAGTGAAATATAATGAGAGGTAGGCATAGTAGCCAGGTATAATATTATGGAATTCTTTGTAAGAGATGATAATGACCTAATATGAGGAGATGTCTGCTGGGAACGTGAAGAAAAGATAGATTTTGAGAGACACCTAGGGAACAGCATTGATAGTATGTAGTGATCCTATGATACTGGAAGAGAAAGGGATAGGGTTTTATCAGTTTTCTACTTTTGTTTACTAGGCATTCATCTGCCATCTGCTGAGACAGGAGACTCAGATGGAGTGGTAGATTAAGGTCTGAGTGCACAAACAATGGGTTCATTTTTTGATATGTTCACATGAAGTGTTTGTGGAATATTTAAAACTATATATCAGGCTGGGTGCAGTGGCTCATGCCTGTAATCCCAGCACTTTGGGAGGCCGAGGCAGCCGGATCACGACGTCAAGATATCAAGATCATCCTGGCCAACATGATGAAACCCTGTCTCTACTAAAAATACAAAAAGTAACTGGGCGTGGTGGCTCATGCCTGTAGTCCCAGCTACTTGGGAGGCTGAGGCAGGAGAATCTCCTGAACCCGGGAGGTGGAGGTTGCAGTGAGCCGAGATCGCACCACTGCACTCCAGCCTGGCGACAGAGCAAGATTCTCTCTCTCAAAAAAAAAAAATCTATATCTATATCTATATCTATCTATATCTATATCTATATCTATATCTATATCTATATCTATATCTATATCTATCTATCTATCTATATATATATCCAGCAGATGGAACGATAATAGATATCTGTAAATGGGTAGAGCAATCAGAAATATGGTTATGAATTTGGGAATAATCAGTGCACAAATGACAGGTGAGGCCATATAATACTAGTGTGCCAAGAGAAAATGAAAAAGTCTAGAGAAATACTTATTTCAAGGAACATAGAGAGGAAGATGAGCCCCCAAAACAGACTGAAAAAGGCAACTAGAAAGGAGGAAATTTAAATGAGTGCGATATCACAGGAATCAAGTTAAAACACTGTTTTGAGGAGAAGGGAATAGCCAACTGTGAAGGCTGCTGCTAAGAAGTCAAGATGAAGATTGTACAATATTCTTTCACTTCAGAGTCATAGAATTCTTCAGTGACATTTATGAGTTTCAACAGACTTGTGCAGACAGAAGCCAAAATGAAGTAAGTTGAAGAGTGAGTAGGAAGTGAGGAGGCATAGATGTTGAATTTAGACAGCTCATTAAAGACATCTGGCTGTGAAATTGACTAAGAAGGATAACCTGTAACCTGGATGCTATAAAAAAGAATCCAGGAAGGTTTTTGTTTGGTTTGGTTTTGGAAAAAGACTTGAGCAAAAATACTTGTTGATAAGAAAGGCTTATAGAGAAAGGCTAAATAATCAAGAGAATGGATATAGGGTAAAGTAAGGGGATTTAATTTTTGCAACTTCTTAGTGACTTAAGATTTTTGGTGAGCTTTTGCTCAGACATTAGGCTTTATTTATGCATTCAAAAACATTTACTAAAAATTTCCTCTGTGACAGGCTCTGTGTGAAAATCTAACAATCTAGTGATGTTTGAGTAAGGGGAAAGATAAACAAAGCAACAATTTCTGTAGAGTATACTAAGTGCTCGAGCTAGTGTTGAGAAAAGCAGGGTGCTACAGGAATGGTGAGTGACCTTCAATGTTGAACTTGCTCTCCTTATACTTTGAGGTTTATAAAAACAGCTTAGGTTACTTCTGTTGACATTCCACTAGTCAGAAATCTGTCACAGGTACCTTACCATTACTTCCAGGAGACTGAGAAATATTGTTTTCATTTAAACTCAGGAAGAAGAAATTCTGATGAACACAAAACAATTTATCACACCATCTTAGCTTAAATTCTGCTGAATGCTGAGCCCAAGATAAAGACCAAAGTGCAGGTAGTTTATCTGGGAGTCACCAGGAGCAGGAGTAAGGGAGCAGAGAGAGGAAGATAGGAAGGTGGAAAAACAAATATGCCAATCTAAGGTATATAACTGAGACCTTCACTGTGGGCAATAGGGGCTCAATTGTGTTGAGACTTCCTGAAAAGTGCACAGAATGACTGCCAGAATTTTCCACCTGATGAACAGAGGCTATATAACATCTCTTGTCCCTCACTGGTTAAAAATTACTCTTCAGGCTAATCATCTCCCATTTCTGATATGTGGAAAGAATGTTCTTATTCCTGTGCTATTGGAGAAGGCCCTGGGAAGAAAGCAGAGAGATGTTGTGGCAAACTTTTGAGGTGAGGTGCTGCCAGCATGAGGTGAGTCTGAGCTCACATGAAATTGTCCACTGAAGCTGCAGGTGAAATAAGATGTGGGCTGAGCAGACGTGATGTGGAGAATCAGAGGAATCAGCTACACATTACAACTATGTTTTAACGAAAGTAAAGGAAACAAAATATTTTTTGTCTAAAGATGTCCCGGATAGTCACTGTGACCTGAAAGCATCTGAATAAATTGTTTTAATATAACACTTTACTTTTATGATGAGGACCCTGTCTTGGTTATATTTTTGGACTATGAAATTAACTGGAAAGTAAAATAGAAAACTGAGCATTTGTTGAAGCAGTGTGATTACATAGATCACTCATCCAGGTGACCTAGACCCAAACTCATTCTGCCTTTCTAGGTCTCTATTCCCAGATTGTTTACTTAATTATCTCAGTTCTTCATTCCATTCACTTCTGTAGAAATTGTTGAAAGATTCAGTTCTCATTCCTTTCTTTAACTTGATCTACAAATGTGTTTGTTTATTAGTTATTCAAATGAGGGTGGGGGAAGATCTGTGGAAATTTCCCCACATTTTTTTCTTTAGAGGTACTCTATAATTTGTCTTTTATAATTTTAGATTTGAATTTGACAGGTAATTAGTCACATCATGAGGCAAGGTAGTCAAATCCAGCAAACGTAATGTAAGATTCTCTTTGTGGTTTTAATGAATTATCAGTATACCTTTCAAAGTGCATATTCAGCGTGGTTCTGAGATAGTGCAGCCATGCTCTCTTTTCTCTCCTCTTGTCATTGCTTCTGGTTAGTGCATTCTGGTTTGTTTATGATTGATACTTTCAAAGATATATGATATATTGATTCCAGTTACGTTGCTGAATATTCACAGTAGCCTTACCACATTAATGTGTGTGTTTTTGTGTATGTGTGTATGTAATTTTCCATTTAAATAAGTCTATAAAAGTCACCCTTCATCCAGTTGGTTGCGGATTTTTTAAAATGGAAATTTATATATTATTGATATAGGTTATTTAAAAAAAGCCTTAAATTGTATCTAATTGGAAAACTTCCAAATTGTCTGGCTTCTTCATTTCTATGCTCCTGCAGTACCTGTTCTTCAGGATCTGTATCTCTACCATGCCCTTGTCATGTTTTATTATAATTGTTTATTTTCTTATTTGTTCCTACATTAGACTTGAAACCTACTATCTCAATGACAATTAGTAGGGCCTCAGTAAATGTTTATTAAATGAGAAAATGATTAAATAGTGGATAATTTGAATAGCTGGATTTTTTTTTTTTCATTTAGAACACCATGCTTCTTTTGGGATGTTGCTCATGAATAAATCCATACTGGATCCTCTAAAGGATTACAGAAGTGTAAATACACAGAAAAAAGCCTACAGCTGATCCACATGAGAGGAGATAAAATCCATTGAGCTGTGCATCTGAACGGCATCTTATGAATGTTCATTTTATACTTGAGGGAACTGAGGACCTAGGACAGCGATCTTCCAAGGTCATAAGACTATTTAGTGGCAGAGGAAGGTTTTCAATTCCAATCTACCATAAACCATCAAAGATGGTGGCTAAAAACGGTGATAAAAATTATTTAAAGGTAGAATAATGTGGTTCAAAGATCAATATCATTTAGACTCTGGTGAGTTCGGGCTCAATCACATCCAGAGTGTCAAGACTGACCCGTATCTCATCAAAAATAATTCAATAAAATGAAAACATTGAATAGAATCTATGAGCTTGGGAAGAGGGGAAAACAAGTAAGCCAGTCACTTTATTTCTGAGATTCACAATTTTTCGTTTCCTGAAATTAGGGTGGATCTTCTTATCAAAGGGATCTATGAAGGTCTTTTTAAATAACGTCTTTATTTATTTATTTATTTTTATTATACTTTAAGTTTTAGGGTACATGTGCTCAATGTGCAGGTTTGTTACATATGTATACATGTGCCATGTTGGTGTGCTGCACGCATGTACTTGTCATTTAACATTAGATATATCTCCTAATGCTATTAAATCATGCTGCTATAAAAACACATGCACATGTATGTTTATTGCGGCCCCATTCACAATAGCGAAGACTTGGAACCAACCCAAATGTCCATCAATGATAGACTGGATTAAGAAAATGTGGCACATATACACCATGGAATACTATGCAGCCATAAAAAATGATGAGTTCATGTCCTTTGTAGGGACATGGATGAAGCTGGAAACCATCATTCTCAGCAAACTATCGCAGGGAAAATAATATCTTTTATTTGTATACAGCTATAAATTACAAACTTGTTTTATTATGCTTTATTTTTTTCGTTATTTTTACTCTGCTTACTCCCTATCTTTCATTTATTCACCAGCAGTTTTCTCTGACAGAATAAATGTATGAAGGTCTTTAACCTGGCCAGTGACATTTTGAATGAATTAGGTTTCTCCCGCTCTAACCAATCTCACCTAGCAGAAAGATGATCCATCTATGAAGGGAAGCGAACTGATGAATTATTGTATGCGTTTGTGCTGAATGGAAGTCATTCTGTAGCACTGCCTAAGTATTTATTTTTCTAAAAGGACTCTTTGTATTAAATGCTTCTCCATTGTATTATTCCCAATTAGTGGAAATTTATTGTGAGTATTTAAATCTCAAAGATGAGCTACATTCTGAATCTACATCTCATGTTTCTCAGCTGAGTCTCTCCTTCAAATTATATACGCATTTTCTGTATTTATATTCCGACTCATTTTTCACACTTTCACAGTCTAAGATGAGAACCATACATTTCATAGTTCTTGACCTATTTTAAAGTCGTATCATTTTTTTTAACCTTTGACTTTGTCCAGCAAGAGCCACCACTTTAGACTGAATCACATTACAATTATTTTAGTAAACTAAATCCAAATTGGATTGCAGTGGTATTTTTGTGCCTAATCAACTTAAAATAAGTATTTTTCAACTAATTCTGCTTTTATGTTTTTTCTTTCTAGATACATTTGCTCTTATTCTAAGGGCTTTGTCAGTTGAAACTGTAGAACACAGCTAACACTATAATGTCCTGTTCAACAATTATTTCCAGCATGTTTTAACATAAACCTGTGAAAATATTTGCTGTCATGTTTCTAGCCCTCTGTGGCCTCAAACTGTCATGCTGGTGATTTCACTTTCTCCCATAGAAATCACTAGAGTTTGATAAGATTCTAGAGAATATCCAATTCAATATCCTTATATCATAATCAAGAAAACTGATGTCCAGAGGGGTTAAGTAAATTCTCCAAAGTCACACAGCTTGATAGTAACTGAATCTAAATTAGAACTCAAGGCTCTTAACTTCTGCATTGGGGCTCTTTCCATTCTAATGTCGTGTATTGATATGACTGTCTAATAGAGACGCTTTAAGCTCCAACGTATTTGTAATATTATTTTAACCTTTTAGTTTTGTGAAAATAAATATAATGTAATCTACCCTGATCCTATCATCCCAAATCATCTACACTGTCAATAAAAGATATATTAATTCCCATGTATGGCAGAAAGTACATTAACTAAGCATTTTAATTTGGATTAATGACACCACTTAGAAAAGAAGACCAGATCATGTATTATAACTGGTCTTCATAATAATTTCAAGTAAAGCCCAACAGATGTACAGTTATAGCCATGTTGTGTTATGAGTGTTTCAAAATAGTAATTAAATGAGTGGTTCTGGACAAGACATTAGAACCAAGATGATAAAGTCAATAACGCAGATCCAACCTTCAACCTCCCCCACACACACAGTCAAAGCAATCCCTGTATTAAGTACTGGTAGTATTGTTAAGTGTTACTATTTTTGTTTTCAGAAGTAGGGTACTCCCCAGGTTTCCAAGTGTTAGCATAAATTTTTAAAATGTTTTATGAATTAAGACGAAAATTACATGTTGTTATAATGACATTCAGAGGCATTCAACAACAGAGTAATGTAACAATTCTATGGTTTTGGAACACAGAAACCTCTGGCTTTCCATTAAAAAAATGTGTAACCAAATAGAAAAGTGAGAATGGTTATGTACTCATGGATACTAAAGAAAACACACCCTGTGTTTCTAAAACAAGTGTGTATTTTCTAAATGAATGATACATTACTAAGATGAGCAGAGTATTGGCTTATAGCTGTGATGCTGTCCATCTGCTGTCCTTAAAGTCTCCATGCAGTCTTTGAGGTGAATACAAAGGCAAACTCAACGGAGGTAAGTAAAATCTTTTTCAGGAAAAGAAGGGTATATATGAAAATGAATCTATCAATTAACAAAGCAGGTTTACTTTTGTTTATGTACTCACATATATTTTGAGAGACTAAGTTGCCATTCTGTCAATACATTCTAGTTTGTCTCTAGCTTTTAAACAATCAAGAGGTAGTTTTATCATATGGAAATAAGCAAAGCTTTTTGTAGAGCAATAATGACCAAAAGCCAATGCCTCAGATTTTGTTTATTCTATTAAAGAATAACTTGTATATTCAAAAAGAAGAATTGAGGAAATTACCTGGAGAAGTCAATTATCACAGCACCCATCCCTCTATTATGTGGACAGGTCATCAGAAAGAACATTTTATCAAGTGAAAGGCAAGCCAAATTATTGAGATAATTGCTTCAATTTCCCCGCTCATTTTTCACGTGTAAGCACAATACTTTGTATTCTATACTGAAAACATTGTTTTTGCTATTTGTTGATGTTACTGATGAATTCTGGCATCTCTTCATGGTCATTACTCGGATATGAGAGCATATGTTTTAAAATAGAAGAAAGACAAACTTGAAAACTAGAACAAAATATTTGTGGGAGAGGACATTGTGTCAAAAACTACACTAGTGCTTTCAATCAATATACTGGAAGCGTCTAGAGAACATGTCAAAATACAATTTTATTTATATATATATATGTATATATATATATATATATATATATATATATACATATATATATATATACCTTCTCGTTATGGGATACATAAATAATATGTATTTGTAACCAGCTGTTCAGGTGATTCTGATGCATCTCGACCGGCCAACATCAATTAATGTTTGGGAATTATTAAACTACATCATAGCAAATATTTAACAGTTGAGTTTCACTAGAAGGATTCTTATATATTTGATAGTTTGCATTCAAGCATTTTATCTGAATCCTGTTATGACACTATTTATATATCATGGAAATTGATAGAGAGAAAACTATTTTCTCTAAAACTCCTGATCAGAGCAGTCCCAGTCTGGTATTTTCATAGCAGCACAGCTGGAGATTTGAGTACTTCAAGATCTATGCAAACTGCTATCTGGTAGAAGGGCTATTGGCTTGAAACTTCTCTTTGGAGCAAACTTCAAAAATAGGTGGTTGGGTACAGACTGACTGCTTTTTGGTAGGACTAAATGAATGTATTTTCACATTTGTCATAACAACCTTCTCTCACGAAAGTACATGTTGACATTTATGAGATTTCTGCACAACTAATCTGATACAGTTATCAAGATGACTAAATTAACAAAATTACCATAGTTGTTATACACAAAATTACTCAAATTCTTAGGCAACTATTACTGAAAAAATATACAAATTTTCCTCCAACCATTTGTGAAACTGTGACTTGGAAAGCATCATATTTTAATTAAGAAAATAATAATTTCATTTTCAAATTTTGATGTAATTGAGCTATTTCATTTGTTTGAATTAATGACATATTTTCACGATTTATCACGTTACTGATGTAGTCAAACATTTTGCAGCGGTATGTTGGTATCTTGAAATGACAAGCTTTCTGGAAAGAAAAAATGTGATATGTATCATGTAACCAATTTGCGTGGCATTTTCAGTCACCCTGACTTCTTTCAATCCACCAAAATGATGTCACTCTGTAAAGAATCAGGAAGATACGAATACAATTGGCTCTCAGAAGCTGGTGTGATCTGTCTTCAATACAACATTGGCTGTCTGTTTTCAAAGGCTACAGCTATCAAATGGTAAATAAGGCATGATTCTGCTCATTTCCTCATACTATCAAACCAAGAATTGTTGTTAGCAACTGGGAAAACATGAAGAAGGGACAAGGGGAGTTGTAAAAAGATTCTCTGAGGAAGTAATATCTTAACTGAATCCCATAAGATAAATTTGTAGACCACACTTTTATAAACCTCACATAAGGTGTTTGGTTGGAGAAAGAAAAGTAGGGGAGTACCAAGGACCAGGTCCTGGAGGAATTTGAATGGTATGATTAGGAACTTGGATATTACATATGTTGTTAACGGAAGACCACTGAAGTGTTGAAGATGACTGGATGCAGGGTGAGATAACACACTGGGCGAGGTGGAAACAGGAGTGCAGGCAGGAAGTGATATGAGGCAAAATTCAAGGAGCTCATACACTGTTTATGGAGATAGACTTGTAAAGAGAGGTTTACCTTAATACAAGGCAATAACAGTTTTAATAAAGGCATAAGGTTGTGAATTGCTTTCTAGTTTCCTTTTATGTGTGCACAACAAGATTATAAGCTTCATGAGTTGAATGTGAGAACTTTGAATGTTACCAATTGCACAGATATATCTAAATAATCATATGGTGGTATTGAAAAGCAAAATATACAGGTATGTTACTGAATGTTTCCATTTCAGCCTGTAGTATAATTTCATGGAGAACATCTCCACCTGATACTTAAAGAAATAATGAGTTTTATCAATTAAAAGCACATGGAAATCAACATGGACTATGAACTTATTAACTTGTTAATATATAAAAATGATAGATATGTCTATAAATTTATTACTGTTTACAAATTATTTATACATTTATGTTCTTTCTTTGCAAAAGGGTGATCAAGGTTTCTGAATACTCAGAAATTTTCTAATTATGAAGGAATAATTACACTATTTTAATAATACTGGAAAAGTAGCTTATAAGTACACATGTAATAACATACTATAGAGAAATGATTTGGATTTGGTTATCATCTATATACTTGGTTCTACTCCCAAGTCAATTTCTCATAACCAAGTCCTCTATTATCAACACAGGTATTACTCAGCTCTACAACTGACTAAGTAAAAATAGTATGTTCTCTTTGGAAAGCATTTGAAGAATTGGATGTATTTATCATAACACAAAATGCACCCACTTTTGTATTAAATGCACTAAACATAGTGCACAAAATTCACTAGCATTAGAAGGTAAACTGAATAATTATGTAAAAAGCCCTGTTGTATACAAAATACACATAAGATGGAAACAAATTTGATATTTGGACTAAATTTTTCTTGGTGTTTTAGCCTGTGCCCCATGTTACATAAATGATGTTTTAAATATTCTTCAACCTCAAATGCTCGGTTAAATGAAGAGAAGGTAATTCATATGCATAGGACAGAGTATGATCCTTATGTGGTGGAAAGCCTTTCTATAAAAAAGGATAAATGTAATTGATACTATGCTGAAGTAACAAAATCAAAAATTTTAGTGATATATTACAACTATGGCTTATAATTTGCTCACTCTGCATGCTCAACACAAATAGGGAGTAAGACAGGGTGGATAGGGTAGTTCACAGCTAAATGGATGGTTCACCATCTCAGGATGCCACCATTTCAACTGGGAGCATCCAGTGTATCAATGTTAGGCAAAGAGAGAGCATGGACACTTTCACCTAATATTGACTTTCTTGGAAGGGAAGTGATGCTCCAAGAGCAATGCCTTATATGATTTTGTATCTCTAATGGCTATGAAAATGCCTGACACACAAGCACTCATTAAAAAAAAATTGTTACATGATTATTTTACCAGAATCCACAGAAGAGTGAGAGTTAGAAATGTTTAAATGGAAGTGGTAACTTCACTGAAAACCATAAAAATACTAGATTCATTAGACACAGAAAAAGATAACCAGTTAATTATAATAAGCTGATATAAATCAATTTTGTGTTAAGTTAATCTGCTCGTTGAACAAAATCGCCTTTTTTTTTTTTATGGTCCCTCCTGGTTCTAATTGTTTCCTGTGTGGGGAGAAACAATTAGTTAAAAGAAATCCAAAAGTTGGATGACAAACTGAATTGACATAGCTAACTAAAGAAAGCTGTCAACAGCCCACTGATTCTTAACATAAATTCCATCAAACTTGCTGAATCACACAATCTGTGCTGTTTTGGTACCCATGAAAGTGTAACTCCAGAGACGGAAAGCACCTTAGAAAGTATTCAGTGTAGAGATCGTACTGGCAAGGCAGCACTCCACAATCCTCTGCTTGTAAGTGAACTGATTTCCATAAAGATAATTAGCTATATATACATATATATATACTGTGGGCTTACACTGTGAAGGTGCTATGCTATGAACTTTATATGAATTATCTAATGCATTCTTTATGGCAAAACTGTAATGTAGGAAATATTCGTCTTATTTTACAGGCTTAGAGATGTTAAGTAGCATGATAATGGTTAGAGTTGATAACTGGGTCCAGAAAAGTTTGACTCCAAATCTAGTGCTGTTAACCCCTGCACCTAGCTGTTGTGTTATAATGCAATCATGATAGAGGACAGTGACCATACTGAACCAGGATACTCAGAATACAGTGACTCAAACAACGTCTTCCAATCAGTGGGGATTGCTTAAAAAGGTGAAACTTATTTTCCTTCCTTGTCAACTCCCTTAATTTACATGAGAAAATTGGAGCCCACAGACAAACTTCTCCAAGGTTAAGGGAGACAGTGTTAGAAAGAGAAATAGGAGAACTCAACAATCCTGATTCAGAAATGTGAGGCTCTTACACCAGGATATCCAGTGAGATCTCAGCTCCAGCAAGGGCACTGATTCAGAAATCAGGGACACTCGTTTTTCATCTGAAAATGAACCTGAAATGGGGCACAGAGTATTCAAACATTTCTAGAAGACTCAGTGAACGTGTCTGCACATGTTTACCGTCATGCATTTAGTCACACATATTAGGTTTGCCAAGGGTCATGCACAATTTCAGGGATGGATCAGTGGTTACTTTAGTGTGATTATCTCCAACTAAGCTACATTGTGTCTGGTGCCTCAGGTCACTTGACAAGGCTGACTCACAGAGAGGAAGGAAAGCCAGAAAGTTGTAGAAAGGAAAATGCTAAAGAAGAGGAAGAGGGAATAAGAAACAGAAAGGAGAAGAAAACAGAATAAAAGGTAAAGTTATAAAAGAGATGTGATGCTTGTTGGTAGAGAGAGGCTTCACAAAAACTCTCATGCCATCCTTGTTCTCAAAGTTATTTTTGCCCTCGACTTTATCACAGACGAAGTATATCACTTCAGCACAAGGTGTCGCTTCTTCAGTGCGTTTCAGTGCAAGATCTCCTTTTTATTTTTTTAATTACTAGTTTTGCATGGCCGAGATTTCACCTTTTCCTACCTATCCATTCTCCAGTTTGCTAGGTCACTATTTTGAGGGCCCTAAACTGTACCAAGGGCCCTTAATGGCAAGCTAAGTGCCTGTTGTCTCTCTCAGCTGGAAGCTACAGGGAGTACTCTCTTCTGATGATTTTAGAAGCACCCTCCTGCTCAGAAATGAGAGCTGTCTTTGAATGAGTAGTTTCAGGTTTGTAGAAGTACACACTCTTTCTAGCAAACTCTTTGGGTTTTTTAAATTGATGGGTTACAAGAAATACGGTTGCTGAACGTCTTCACAGTAACTTTTCCTACAATCCATTTTCTGTTCATGCATTGCCCTTTGCTAAGAAAGCTACAAGAAAGCACCTCTTTCTCTGGCATCACATTGTGTTAGCAGAACAGAATTGTTGAATGAAAGATGGAAATTAGTGGGAGAAATTCTACATTATCCTTAAGAGCATTTGACAGAACATCAAATTCTGTGTAATTTAAATAGCTGAATAGAACAGGCAGAGTTTAATTAGAGGAAAACTATGAGCTGCAAACTTCAGAAAATGATTCTAAAGGGTTCTGAACAATATTTTCACTTAGCTAATTTTATTTTTAAGACTCTAAGACTATTATTCTGAGTATCTAACATCACAAAGTTAAAAGAGTTGTGGATGTCAGCCTTGGCAAAACACATTCCAATATGCAAGTTTTAAACTAATCTTTCTGAACCATTGCTGATAAAGTATACTACTCCTGTGTCAAGTAGGAGTGTGTGTGTGTGTGTGTGTGTGTGTGTGTGTGTGTGTGATTATGAAAAGCTCAATATATATTTCAGTGTTTCCAATAGAAGCCCTATTGAGAGAAATAACTTTAATGAATTCGCTATAGTCCAGTGTCTGGGCTTCAGACTCAGTGTCAGAGATTGTCTCATTTTTACACTTTCTTGGCAGGGGCACTCTCTTTATAAATGTGTTAATATCTTCAGTCAAGTCTAAGGACCTGGGGGTCAGATTCACTTCAAAATGACTCACTTTAAAATCTCTTCTGTGAACCACTGTGTGCTGATTTTACTGTCTCTTGGCCTCATTTTCTAAGAGCAATGTTATTTTCTTGTCTTACAATGAGACATCTTGGAAAATTTTTCATGGTGGAGGTTAACTTTCATCTCAGATAAATTATGTGAGAACCACTTTTTTAGCTACTAATGGTGGAAAAATGAGGAGCCTTAAACTAAGTTGCTTGTGGAGATCGTAATCTATATAAACTTTAATCACATGTATTCTGGATAAAGGAAGAAAAACATACAAAATGTCTTGAACTTAAACTTACCAATGAAGTCTGAACTTCTGAATTAGCAGGAAATGGCATTATATTACCATTCTTTCTGAGTCTGACACTCTTGGTACATTTGCAGTTTTTTTTTTTTTTTGAGACGGAGTCTTGCTCTGTCGCCAGGGCTGGAGTGCAGCGGTGTGATCTCAGCTCACCGCACGCTCCGCCTCCCGGGTTCACGCCATTCTCCTGCCTCAGCCTCCCGAGTAGCTGGGACTACAGGCACCCGCCACCACGCCCGGGTAATTATTTTTTGTATTTTTAGTAGAGACGGGGTTTCAACGTGTTAGCCAGGATGGTCTCGATCTCCTGACCTTATGATCCGCCCGTGTCGGCCTCCCAAAGTGCGGTACATTTGTATTCTTGAAAGGACATTTTCCTTTTTACTAAAGCTCAAACTTTGTGATCCTGCCTGTTCACCTTGGAAATAAAACTGTTATCTTATACTCAGTAATTGGATCCATGGTTTTTCTCCCCGTTTGTATGTTCCTCACTTGTTTGCTTTCCTTCAAGCTTTATAGGATTTAGAATTAGGAATTAGAGTTTCACTTTGTATCACTTAATCCTTCCAGAAGTGTGGCTGTTGTGACTTAGCCCTCTGGCTCAATAATGTCTGTGATACCGGCTGCATAATGCCAGAATTCTCTGGTACTGACTATCCGTCTAAACTAGATTTCTGTTTATACCTGATGGCTAGACCCTATTGGTGCATATGCATTCTTGAGAGGGCAGCTTCCTGTTTTCTAATCACTGGACTCTTTAACTCTATTGGACTTCCTCCCAAAGTTTTTTCTATTCCCTGACAAAGGGACTGCTCCAACTTTAACTATCTTGACCCTGTGGGTTATGAACACCAAACATGGAGAATTTGAAGAGAATTTGTTGTAATACTCTTGCCATGGAGCACTGAATGTGATTTTTCAAATGAATGAAACTGTATTTTTTCTGCTGATGAAATCAATAGTCCATATGAACCACAACAATTTTTAGCATTTTTTACCTAAGAACTGATATTGGTTTGTGCCTCAATGAACTTTCTTAGTGCATTCGCACTCCATTTAATCTTAAAATATAGTTTTCAGTGTATAAAATAGGGGAAAGGGGGCAGTAGTATTCTGGGGGCATCCTAGTAAAAAACTCATGCTTCAAAATTGACTCCTCAGAGCCTTACTTACCATATCCACGTGCCTATCTCATCCGGGCACTCCCGCAGCCCAAAGTGAGCTCGTCCCAGACAATCAAGAGGGGAAGCGAGAAAGAGACGGAGACCTGCTATCATGGCCAATGATCCCGGGAAGAGGGAACGGTGGTCCACGCACCGGATTCAGACTCCGATCAAGCCCAGCAGGCGCCAGCCTGGCCGAGTGCGGGGCTTGCTGAGCCCGCGCTCACCTGGAAACCGCGCCGGCCGGCCTCGGCGCGCAGCCCCGCCCGGCTCCCGCCCACGCCTCTCTCTTCACACCTCCCCGCCAGCAGAGGGAGCCAGCTCCGGCCTTGGCCAGCCCCAGAGAGGGGCCCTCATAGCGCAGCGACAGGCTGAAGGGCTCCTCCAGCGCGGCCAGAGCGGACACCGGGGCCGAGGAGGCGCCGAGAGCGAGCGAGGGCTGCTAGCACGTTTTCACCTCTCAATACAAGAAGCTACTTCATAGAAGAAGCAAACTTAGAATACATTTAAGTTTGCGTTCAAACTCTTCACTTCCCAATACCAGGTAGGAGAGCTGATGCTGCTTTCTCACTCTCCCAAAGTCTCAAGTTTTCTGATGACTAACTGAATATAATTGGAAGCCACCAAGCCTCTTTCATCCTGGTCACCTGCAGACTTAACATCTGGTGGAAGCTGCCAAGGTTTACCGTGTGCATTCTCTAGAGCAGGGGCACCAGCAGTACCTGGGACCGTTTAAACCATGGCTGGTGCTGGAGCGGTGAGGATGTAGGGAGCAGCTTCCCAAGGCAATCCAAGGCGATAGCAGCCCCAGGCCTGGACGCCAAAACCATTCTGTCCTCTTAACGCCTCTGCGCCTCTGATGGGAGGGGTGAACTTGAAGATTTCTGAAATGCCTTTAGGGACTTTTTATCATTGTCTTGCCTATCAGCACCTGGCTCCCTCTTATTTGTGCTAATCTCTTTAGCAAGTTGTTGATCCACAAAATCCTTGGATTTATTACCTGAGAATCTTCTTCTCTTCTCTACCACATGGCCAATCTACATATTTTTCAAATTTTTGTGTTCTGCTTTTCTTCTAATTATAAATTCCACTTTTAGTTTACTCCTAGATGCTGCACACCCAGGAAGCTCAAAAGTTCCCAAATAGATTCAATCCAAAAACGTTCTCTCTGAGATTCACTATAATAAAGTTGTCAAAAATTAAAGACAAAGAGTGAATTCTAAGAAGAACTGGAAAAAAGGATCAAGTCATATATAAGGGAATTCCAGTTAGATTAATAGTAGCTTTTATAGCAGGAATCTTTCAACATGCTACTACTAAGGACCAATTTTTGGTTTCAGTCCGTTTGTATTCCTAGTCCACAGGGCTGGGTTATTGCTGCAAATCCGTCACTTGCGGCAGGGCACAGCACTGGTCTGCCTCCAAGGATAAATGGGCATTCTGGATGTTTGGACCTGGGGATCAGGGTGTGGTTGCAATTTGGGAACCTGAGCCAATAGAGCCCAGTGGAAACTCAGGTCCTCAGGGATGGGGCACTGCTAGTGGTAACTGTAGTCCCTGGAATGGTGGGGTGCTGCTATATCCTAGACTCTCTGTGAGGCCAGGTGTAGTGGTAGCAAGAACCTCAGAATGGCAGAGCACAGCTATTGTTTACACCTGCGGGAGCTCGGAGTAGCACAGTGATTACTCCTCTACCCAGATAGAGGTTTCTCAGAAGCTCAGACTCCGGGGGCCTAGTCCAGCTTCAGGGATGAAGGTTACTAGAGTTGTCTGGCTTGGGGGACAGGGTATTTTAGCTCAGCCACTGCTTTTTTTTTTGCCCTGGGATGTGGGATGCTATGTCACCTCAGCTCTCGGATGCATAGTTGCTCAGCTAGGCCAAAGCACCACTTCCCCTAGGGAAATGTTCTTCTTCAGCTCAGGCTCAGTGTGCGTGACTGCTCTTGGAAGCCAAGGCACCATTTCCCTAGGATACAGGGCATTGCTTCAGCTTAGGTACCAGGGTGAGTGACCACTTTTGGAGACCAAGGTACTTTTTCAAGGGAGTCAGGTTGCTGCTTCAACTTAGACAGTGGGAGGGGATGACTGCTCTGGGTGGCCATGGTTTTGTATCCAGGAGGCAGAATACTTCTTTAGCTCAAGCACAGAGGGGGGTGACTATAATGGACAGCCAAGGCAAAGTTTTCCCAGAATGACTGGCATTGTTTCAGCACCAGCAAGGTTAGGGTAGGGTGCAGCAGCAACTGGCAGGTTATTTATTGTTGTTGCTGTTGTTATTGTTTTTAAATTTCTCTAGAGGAAGTGTGTAGCTTCAGCTCAGGCCCCTATGGACAGGGTGTAGCAGTGACTTTGAAGGGCATATGGAGCAACTTAACCGAGGCACCATTTCCCAGGAAGGGGGTGTGTAACTTAGGTTGGACCCCAAGGGGCAGGGTGCAGTAGGGACTGGGAGAGGTAGATGGAACAGCCCCATGACAGCATTGTTTCCCTAAAATGAAGTGTGCAACTTTAGACCTGGTTCCCAGGTGCAGGGTGCAGAATCACTGACTATAAGGAGTAGATGGATCAACTCTGCCAAGGCACTTTTTCCTCAAGAAAGAGTGCTGTAGCTTCATCCCAGGCCTGGGGGCACAGGGCACAGCCACAACTAAAATAGGTGGATGGAATGGTTCTACCAAAGCATCATTTCCCCAGGAGGGAGTGTGCAGCTTTAGCTCAGGTCCCCAGTTGCGGGGCTCAACAGTGACTTGAAGAGGTATATGTAGCAATTTCACCAAGGAAAGGTTTCTTTAGGAGGCAGTGTGAGGCTTCAGCTCAAGCCCCTAAGGGCAGGAAAGAACAATGATTGGGAAGGGTAGATAAAGACGTTAACTCTCAGTTCAACAACAAACAAAATATATATGCATAACTAGTATCTGTCAGAAAATTTAATTATGAATTAACTGGAACATCATGCCCACTGAAAGTTTTCTCCAGAGAGGCATTATGGGTCAACCCACCTTACGGGATATGTTAGTTCTTCAAATACTATTGCTGCTTTAAGCAAAATTAGCAAAGTACAAAGCAAAGTATCTGAAATCCACTTTTTTTTTTTTTGAGACAAAGTCTCACTCTATCCTCTGTTTCCCAGGCTGGAGTGCCGTGGTGCGATCTCAGCTTACAGGAGACTCTGCCTTGTGGGTTCAAGAGATTCTCGTGCCTCCACCTTCCGAGTAGCTGGGATTACAGGCACGCACTACCATGCTCAGCTAATTTTTGTATTTTTAGTAGAGATGGGGTTTTGCCGTGTCAGCCAGGCTGGTCTCGAATACCCGACCTCAGGTAATCTGCCCGCCTGGGCCTCCCAAAGTGCTGGGATTACCGTGAGCCACTGCACCTGGCCTGAAATCCACTTTCTAAATCAGCATTCTTCAATGGTTGGTTAACGACACTTTGCCCTGTACATATATTAGCTGTTCCACAGGTAATATAGTGATGTCAAAAGAAACAAAATTAAGAATTAAAAGCAAGATTAATCATAATTTTTACAGAAATCATCTTTCAAATTTTATTATGTTATTAAAATTTCCACATGTACTATAAGATTGCACTGATTAATCTCAATGGCACCTCATTTAGCAGGCATAGTTCATCTAAGTTTATATACTTGTATGTCATTAACAAAACATTTTGGCAATGTATAAGGTACACATAACAGGCCAGGCACAGTGGCTCATGCCTGTAATCCCAGCACTTTGGGAGGCCGAGGCAGGCAGATCACGAGGTCGGGAGATCGAGACCGTCCTGGCTAACACAGTGAAACCCTGTCTCTACTAAAAATACAGAAAATTAGCCGGGCATTGTGGCGGGCGCCTGTAGTCCCAGCTACTCGGGAGGCTGAGGCAGGAGAATGGCGTGAACCTGGGAGGCGGAGCTTGCAGTGAGCCGAGATCGTGCCACTGCACTCCAGCCTGGGTGACAGAGCCAGAATCCGTCTTAAAAAAAATACACATAACAAAATGCAAAAATACTAAAAGTATCCAAACAACACTAAGTAAACACATCCATGTAACCAACACTTTTATTAAGATATAGATTATTACCAGTAATCCATAAACCTCACTGGTACACCCTCTATCTCACTATCCCGACAAATATAAGCAATTTTTCTCGCTTGTATCACCATAGATTTTTATACTTGGAAATATACGAGAATGACATTTTAATGTTATTTCTCGTATCTGTTATATATGTCTTTTTTATTACAAATAATTAAAGATACATCCTCAATCCACAAAAATGCAGCAACAGACACAAATAGTGCAAAGGTAGTAACACAATGGTAATATAAATAGTACAATTCAGAATTATACTGTGAACATAACTAGAAAATAGTATACCAGTGATAAAACGAACATATATCTTTGAATTCAAGAAGAAAAAGTAAATATATTAACCTAGTAATTTCATTAGAGGATCCAGAAGAGTAACTGGTATTAGAAAAAAATACAAAGAATGTTTGAAAAACTAGATTTTATTTAACTGGTGGTGAATGTTCTTCTAGTTCCATAAATTCATTGTCACAAAAAGTTGGTAAACCATAACCTAAAGCAATTCATATTTTTAAAGAAAATACAATGACCTCACTGGTAAACTAATCTTTTCTTAATCAAGTTTGATATAAATATATCAAGAAATTCATAAATTTGTTTCTTGAAAAAGGGGAGGCACAAAAAAATGGGCATCTTTCAACATCATAGTCATCATGAAAAAATAGGTACAATAATATACAATTAATGCTCTGTAAAGAAACCATCTGCATGGTACCTCTCATGAAAAAATACTGGTATGAGAATAGCTCACCTGCTACAAATGACTAGCAAACTGGACAAAACAAATGAAACAACTTTTTTAAATACTGGGCAATAGCCAACACAGCACTCTGAGAAAACGGAAACAGACAGTTTGATTTTTACAAGTCTCCTGAATTTTTTTTTTCACTTTGATTAGTGGTTTACTTTCAGTTGAGTTTTTTTTTTTTTATTATACTTTAAGTTTTAGGGTACACGTGCACAATGTGCAGGTTTGTTACATATGTATACATGTGCCATGTTGGTGTGCTGCACCCATTAACTCGTCATTTAACATTAGGTATATCTCCTAAAGCTATCCCAACCCCCTCCCCCCACCCCACAACAGTCCCTGGTGTGTGATGTTCCCCTTCCTGAGTCCATGTGTTCTCTTTGTTCAGTTCCCACCTATGAGTGAGAACATGTGGTGTTTGTTTTTTTGTACTTGTGATAGTTTGCTGAGAATGATGGTTTCCAGGTTCATCCATGTCCCTACAAAGGACATGAACTCATCATTTTGTATGACTGCACAGTATTCCATGGTGTATATGTGCCACATTTTCTTAATCCAGTCTATCATTGATGGACCTTTGGGTTGGTTCCAAGTCTTTGCTATTGTGAATAGTCCTGCAATAAACATACATGTGCATGTGTCTTTATAGCAGCATGATTTATATTACTTTGGGTATATGGGATGGCTGGGTCAAATGGTATTTCTAGTTCTAGATCCCTGAGGAATTGCCACACTGACTTCCACAATGGTTGAACTAGTTTACAGTCCCACCAACAGTGTAAAAGTGTTCCTATTTCTCCACATCCTCTCCAGCACCTGTGGTTTCCTGACTTTTTCATGATCGCCATTTTAACTGGTGTGAGATGGTATCTCATTGTGGTTTTGATTTGCATTTCTCTGATGGCCAGTGATGATAAGCATTTTTTCATGTGTCTGTTAGCTGCATAAATGTCTTCTTTTGAGAAGTGTCCGTTCATATCCTTTGCCCACATGTTGATGGGGTTGTTTGTTTTTTTCTTGTAAATTTATTTGAGTTCATTGTAGATTCTGGATAATAGCCCTTTGCCAGATGAGTACATTGCAGACATTTTCTCCCATTCTGTAGGTTGCCTGTTCACTCTGATGGTAGTTTCTTTTGCTGTGCAGAAGCTCTTTAGTTTAATTAGATCCCATTTGTCAATTTTGGCTTTTGTTGCCATTGCTTTTGGTGTTTTAGACATGAAGTCCTTGCCCAGGCCTATGTCCTGAATGGTATTGCCTAGGTTTTCTTCTAGGGTTTTTATGGTTTTAGGTCTAACATTTAAGTCTTTAATCCATCTTGAATTAATTTTTGTATAAGATGTAAGGAAGGGGTCCAGATTCAGCTTTCTACATATGGCTAGCCAGTTTTCCCAGCACCATTTATTAAATAGGGAATCCTTTCCCGATTTCTTGTTTTTGTCAGGTTTGTCAAAGATCAGATAGTTGTAGATATGTGGCATTATTTCTGAGGGCTCTGTTCTGTTCCATTGGTCTATATCTCTGTTTTGGTACCAGTACCATGCTGTTTTGGTTACTGTAGCCTTGTAGTATAGTTTGAAGTCAGGTAGCGTGATGCCTCCAGCTTTGTTCTTTTGGCTTAGGATTGACTTGGCAATGTGGGCTCTTTATTCGTTCCATATGAACTTTAAAGTAGTTTTTTCCAATTCTGTGAAGAAAGTCATTGGTAGCTTGATGGGGATGGCATTGAATCTATACATTACCTTGGACAGTATGGCCATTTTCACGATATTGATTCTTCCTACCCATGAGCATGGAATGTTCTTCCATTTGTTTGTATCCTCTTTTATTTCATTGAGCAGTGGTTTGTAGTTCTCCTTGAAGAGGTCCTTCACGTCCCTTGTAAGTTGGATTCCTAGGTATTTTATTCTCTTTGAAGCAATTGTGAATGGGAGTTCACTCATGATTTGGCTCTCTGTTTATCTGCTGTTGGTGTATAAGAATGCTTGTGATTTTTGCACATTGATTTTGTATCCTGAGACTTTGCTGAAGTTGCTTATCAGCTTAAGGAGATTTTGGGCTGAGACAGTGGGGTTTTCTAGATATACAATCATGTCATGTGCAAACAGGGACAATTTGACTTCCTCTTTTCCTAATTGAATTCCCTTTATTTTCTCCTCCTGCCTGATTGCCCTGGCCAGAACTTCCAACACTATGTTGAATAGGAGTGGTGAGAGAGGGCATCCCTGTCTTGTGCCAGCTTTCAAAGGGAATGCTTCCAGTTTTTGCCCATTCGGTATGATATTGGCTGTGAATTTGTCATAGATAGCTCTTATTATTTTGAGATACGTCCCATCAATACCTAATTTGTTGAGAGTTTTTAGCATGAAGGGTTGTTGAATTTTGTCAAAGGCCTTTTCTGCATCTATTGAGATAATCATGTGGTTTTTGTCATTGGTTCTGTTTATATGCTGGATTACGTTTATTGACTTGCATATGTTGAACCAGCCTTGCATCCCAGGGATGAAGCCCACTTGATCGTGGTGGATAAGCTTTTTGATGTGCTGCTGGATTCGGTTTGCCAGTATTTTATTGAGGATTTTTGCATCAATGTTCATCAAGGATATTGGTCTAAAATTCTCTTTTTTTGTTGTGTCTCTGCCCAGCTTTGGTATCAGGATGATGCTGGCTTCATAAAATGAGTTAGGGAGGATTCCCTCTTTTTCTATTGATTGGAATAGTTTCAGAAGAAATGGTACCAGCTCCTTCTTGTACCTCTGGTAGAATTCGGCTGTGAATCCGTCTGGTCCTGGACTTCTTTTGGTGGGTAAGCTGTTAATTATTGCCTCAATTTCAGAGCCTGTTATTGGTCTATTCAGAGATTCAACTTCTTCCTGGTTTAGTCTTGGGAGGATGTGTGTGTCGAGGAATTTATCCATTTCTTCTAGATTTTCTAGTTTATTTGCGTAGAGGTGTTTGTAGTATTCTCTGATGGTAGTTTGTATTTCTGTGGGTTCGGTGGTGATATCACCTTTATCATTTTTTATTGGGTCTATTTGATTCTTCTCTCTTTTCTTCTTTATTAGTCTTGCTAGCAGTCTATCAATTTTGTTGATCTTTTCAAAAAACCAGCTCCTGGATTCATTGATTTTTTTAAGGGTTTTTTGTGTCTCTGTTTCCTTGAGTTCTGCTCTGATCTTAGTTATTTCTTGCCTTCTGCTAGCTTTTGAATGTGTTTGCTCTTGCTTCTCTAGTTCTTTTAATTGTGATGTTAGGGTGTCAATTTTAGATCTTTCCTGCTTTCTCTTGTGGGCATTTAGTGCTATAAATTTCCCTCTACACACTGCTTTGAATGCGTCCCAGAGATTCTGGTATGTTGTTTCTTTGTTCTCGTTGGTTTCAAAGAACATCTTTATTTCTGGCTTCATTTCGTTATGTACCGAGTTGTCATTCAGGAACAGGTTGTTCAGTTTCCATGTAGTTGAGCGGTTTTGAGTGAGTTTCTTAATCCTGAGTTCTAGTTTGATTGCACTGTGGTCTGAGAGACAGTTTGTTATAATTTCTGTTCTTTTACATTTGCTGAGGAGTGCCTTACTTCCAACTACGTGGTCAATTTTGGAATAGGTGTGGTGTGGTGCTGAGAAGAATGTATATTCTGTTGATTTGGGGTGGAGAGTTCTGTAGATGTCTATTAGGTCTGCTTGGTGCAGAGCTGAGTTCAATTCCTGGATTTCCTTGTTCACTTTCTGTCTCGTTGATCTGTCTAATGTTGACAGTGAGGTGCTAAAGTCTGCCATTATTATTGTGTGGGAGTCTAAGTCTCTTTGTAGGTCTCTAAGGACTTGCTTTATGAATCTGGGTGCTCCTGTATTGGGTGCATATATATTTAGGATAGTTAGCTCTTCTTGTTGAATTGATCCCTTTACCATTATGTAATGGCCTTCTTTGTCTCTTTTGATCCTTGTTGGTTTAAAGTCTGTTTTATCAGAGACTAGGATTGCAACCCCTGCCTTTTTTTGTTTTCCATTTGCTTGGTATATCTTCCTCCATCCCTTTATTTTGAGCCTATGTGTGTTTCTGCACGTGAGATGTGTTTCCTGAATACGGTACACAGATGGGTCTTGACTCTTTATCCAATTTGCCAGTCTGTGTCTTTTAATTGGAGCATTTAGCCCATTTACATTTAATGTTAATATTGTTATGTGTGAATTTGATCCTGTCATTATGATGTTAGCTGGTTATTTTGCTCGTTAGTTGATGCAGTTTCTTCCTAGCCTTGATGGTCTTTGCAATTCGGCATGTTTTTGCAGTGGCTGGTACCGGTTGTTCCTTTCCATGTTTAGTGCTTCCTTCAGGAGCTCTTTTAGGGCAGGCCTGGTGGTGACAAAATCTCTCAGCATCTGCTTGTCTGTAAAGTATTTTATTTCTCCTTCACTTACGAAGCTTAGTTTGGCTGGATAGAAATTCTGGGTTGAAAATTCTTTTCTATAAGAATGTTGAATATTGGCCCCCAATCTCTTCTGGCTTGTAGAGTTTCTGCCGAGAGATCAGCTGTTAGTCTGATGGGCTTCCCTTTGTGGGTAACCAGACCTTTCTCTCTGGCTGCCCTTAACACTTTTTCCTTCATTTCAACTTTGGTGAATCTGACAATTATGTATCTTGGAGTTGCTGTTCTCGAGGAGTATCTTTGTGGTCTTCTCCTAGATAATATCCTGCAGAGTGTTTTCCAACTTGTTTCCATTCTCCCCATCACTTTCAGGTACACCAATCAGACGTAGACTTGTTCTTTTCACATAGTCCCATATTTCTTGGAGGTTTTGTTCGTTTCTTTTTATTCTTTTTTCTCTAAACTTCTCTTCTCGCTTAATTTCATTCATTTGATCTTCCGTCACTGATACCCTCTCTTGCAGTTGATCGAATCAGCTACTGAGGCTTGTGCATTCGTCACATAGTTCTCGTGCCATGGTTTTCAGCTCCATCATGTCCTTTAAGGACTTCTCTACATTGGTTATTCTAGTTAGCCATTCGTTTAATTTTTTTTCAAGGTTTTTGACTTCTTTGCCATGGGTTTGAACTTCCTCCTTTAGCTTGGAGTAGTTTGATTGTCTGAAGCCTTCTTCTCTCAACTCGTCAAAGTCATTCTCTGTCCAGCTTTGTTCTGTTGTTGCTGAGGAGCTGCGTTCCTTTGTAGGAGGAGAGGCGCTCTGATTTTTAGAATTTTCAGTTTTTCTGCTCTGTTTTTTCCCCATCTTTGTGGTTTTATCTACCTTTGGTCTTTGATGATGGTGACGTACAGATGGGGTTTTGGTGTGGATGTCCTTTCTGTTTGTTAGTTTTCCTTCTAATAGTCAGGACCCTCAGCTGTAGGTCTGTTGGAGTTTGTTGGAGGTCCACTCCAGACACTGTTTGCCTGGGTATCAGCAGTGGAGGCTGCAGAACAGTGGATCTTGGTGAACAGCAAATGTTGCTGCCTGATGGTTCCTCTGGAAGTTTTGTCTCAGAGGAGTACCCGGATGTGTAAGGTGTCAGTCTGCCCCTAGTGGGGGGTGCCTCCCAGTTAGGCTACTCAGGGGTCAGGGACCCACTTGAAGAGGCAGTCTATCCGTTCTCAGATCTCAATTTGCATGCTGGGAGAACCACTACTCTCTTCAAAGCTGTCAGACAGGGACATTTAAGTCTGCAGAGGTTTCTGCTGCCTTTTGTTTGGCTATGCCCTGCCCCCAGAGGTGGAGTCTACAGAGGCAGGCAGGCCTCCTTGAGCTGCAGTGGGCTCCACCCAGTTCGAGCTTCCTGGCCGCTTTGTTTACCTACTCAAGCCTCGGCAATGGCGGGCGCCCCTCCCCCAACCTCTCTGCCGCCTTGCAGTTTGATCTCAGACTGCTGTGATAGCAATGAGCGAGGCTCCGTGGGCATAGGACCCTCCGAGCCAGGCACGGAACACAATCTCCTGGTGTGCCATTTGCTAAGACCATTGGAAAAGCGCAGTATTAGGGTGGGAGTGACCCGATTTTCCAGGTGCCATCTGTCACCCCTTTCCTTGGCTAGGAAAGGGAATTCCCTGACCCCTTGTGCTTCCCGGGTGAGGCGATGCCTCGCCCTGCTTCGGCTCACACTCAGTGCACTGCACCCAGTGTCCTGCACCCACTGTCCAACACTCCCCAGTGAGATGAACCCGGTACCTCAGTTGGACATGCAGAAATCATTCGTCTTCTGCGTCGCTCACGCTGGGAGCTGTAGACTGGAGCTGTTCCTATTGGGCCATTTTGGCTCCACCCCCGTCTCCTGAATTTTTATCTGGAGGCATTTTCAAGTATATTTCACAGAGATGAGGAAACCTGGTGACAGAGGCCAGAGCAGTGGTTTGAAACAGCGTCTGATCTGAATGAGCATGCAGGCACTTGCCATCGTTCCTCTTCCTAGTTCAATCCAGAGAAAGGTGATAAAATTCAGCTCCCAGCTTCTTCCTCAAGGAAAAAGGAATTGAACCACATATCTGGTACCCCAACTTGCCTGGCTGCTTCTGAAAGGACTGGATTCTAGCTCTCTTGTCTTGTGGCACTGAAAATACTTCACATATTCTAGTTTCTTGGGAGTCATTAAGGAAAAATACTATAGTTTAAATGAGTACAAAGGTTTGAGAAATACCAAGAATCTCTGATGGGGCTTAATCAGGGTGAATTGGCTCAAATGACAGAAATATAATTCAGAATATGGATAGGAATGAAGATGATCAATATTCAGGGGAATAGCAAAACCCAACTCAGGGAAATGAACAATCACAATAAAATGGTGAGGAACTGAAGGATGAAATACCCAGTATAAAAAAGAACCTAAGTTATCTGATAGGACTGAAAAACACATTACAAACATTTCACAATGCAATCACAAATATTAACAGCAAAATAGATGAAGCTGAGGAAATCTCGGAACTTGATTGGCTCTCTAAAATAAGACAGTGAGACAAAATTAAAGCCAAAAGAATAAAAAGGAATGAATAAACCTTTGAGAAATATGCAATTACGTAAAGAAGCCAAATCTATGAGTCATTGGTATTCCTGAATGGGACTGAGAGAAAGCAAACAACTTAGAACATGTATTTCAGGATATTGTCCGTGAAAACTTCCCTAACCTTTCTAGAGACACTGACAGTCAAATTCAGGAAATACAGAGAACCCCTGCAAGATTCTGCACAAGAAGTTTATCCCCAAGACACATAATCATGAGATTTTTGAAGGATGAAATAAAAGAATGTTAAAGGAAACCAGAGAGAAAGGGAAGGTCATCTATGAAGGGAACCCCATCAGATTAACAGTGGACTTTTCAGCATAAACCCTCCAAGCCAGAAGAGACTGGAGGCTTATATAGAACATTCTTAAAAAAAAGTTCAATGAAGAACTTCATATTCATCTAAACTAGACATCTTAAGTAAAGGAAAAATAAGATCCTTTTCACATAAGCAAATGATGACAGAGTTTGTTACCAGCAGAACTACTTTACAAAAGATCTTGAAAGGAGCACTAAATATGGAAAGAAAAAACCATTACTAGCCACTAAAAAAATACACTTAAGTACACAGATGAGTGACATTATAAAGCAACCACATAAACAAGCCATCATAATAACCAGCTAACAACAAAATGATAGGATTGAATCCACACATATCAATACTAACCTGAATGTAAGGCTAAGTTCCCCATTTAAAAGACACAGAGTGAAAACCTGAATAAAAAAGCAAGACTCAATGTTATGCTGTCTTTAAGAGATCCATCTCATATGCAGTGACACCCGTAGACTCAAATTAAAGAGATGGAGGAAAATTTAACAAGCAAATGGAAAACAGAAAAAAGCAGGGGTTGCAATACTAATTCAGACAAAACAGACTCTACACCAACAAGAATGAAAAAAGAAAAAGAAGGGCATGACATAATGGTAAAGGATGCAATTCAACAAGAAGACCTAACTATCCTAAATGTATATGCACTCAACACAGTAGCACCCAGGTTCATAAAGCAAGTTCTTAGAGACCTACAAAGAGACTCAGGCTCCCACATAATATTACTGGGAGACTTCAACACTCCACTGATAGTACTAGATAGATCATCGAGGCAGAAAACTATCAAAGATATTTAGGACATTAACTCAACTCTAGACCAAATGGATCTGATAGACTGCTACAGAACTCTACACCCAAAACAACGGAACATACATTTTTCTCATCACCACATAGCACATACTCCAAAATTAACCGCACAAGTGGATATTAAATAATCCTCAATAAATGCAAAAGAACTGAAAACATACCAAACACACTCTTGTACCACAGCACAATAAAAATAGAAATCAAGGCTGGGCGCAGTGGCTCATACTTACAATCCCAGCACATTGGGAGGCTGATGCTGGAGGATTGCTTGAGCTCAGAAGTTTGAGACCAGCCTGGGCAACATGGCAAAAAGCCATCTCTACAAAAAATACACACACACACACACACACACACACACACACACACACACACAAAATAGCTGGGCATGGTGGCATGTGCCTGTAGTCTCAGCTACTCTGGAAGCTGAGGTGGGAGGATTGCTTGAACCTAGGAGGCCAAAGTTGCCCTGAGCCAGATTCGCACCACTGCACTCCAGCCTGGGTGATAGAGTGAGACCCTGTCTAAAAAAAAACAAAAAAACAAAACAAAACAAAAAACCCCAGAAACCACAAATAAAAAATTGCTCAAAACCATGCAATTACATGGAAATTAAACAACCTGCTTCTCAATGACTTCTTGGTAAATGATGGAATTAAAGCAGAATCAAGAATTTGTTTGAAACTAATGAAAACAAAGATACAACATACCAGAATCTCTGGCACACAGTCAAAACAGTGTTAAGGGGAAAATGTTTAGCACTGGGCCCCCACATCAAAAAGTTAGGTCTCCAACAACCTGACATCATAGCTGAAAGAACTAGAGAAGCAAGAGCAAACCAACCCCAAAGCTAGCAGAAGACAAGAAATAACCAAAATCAGAGCTGAACTGAAGGAGATCCAGACAAGAAAACAAAATTCAAAAGTTTAGCAAACTCCTAAGCTGTTTTTCTGAAAAATTAATAAGATAGGTAAAACCGTAGGTAGCCTAGTAAAAAGGAAAAGAGAGAAGACCCAAATAAACACAATATGAAACAACAAAAGGGATATTACCACTGACACCACAAAAATACAAACAACTACGAGAGACTATTGTGAACACCTCCATGCATACAAACTAAAAATCCTAGAAGAGATGAATGAATTCCTGGACATATACACCCTCCCAAGACTGAACCAGGAAGAAATTGATTCCCTGAACAGACCAATAACGAGCTCCAAAATTAAATCAGTAATAAACAGCCTGCCAACCAATAAAAACCCAGAAACAGACAGATTAACAGCCAAATTCTATCAGATGTACAAAGACAAGTTGGTATTATTGCTACTGAAACTACTCCAAAAAACGAAAACAAAAACAAACCAAACCAAAACAAAAAAACCTGAGGAGGAGGGATTCCTCCCCAACTCATTCTATTAGGCCAGCATCATCCTAATACCATAAACTGGCAGGGACACAACAACAGCAAAAAACACAGCCATATTATCCTTAGCAAACTAACACAGGAACAGAAAACCAAATATCGCATGTTCTCCCTTATAAGTGAAAGGTAAATGATGAGATTACAAGGACACAAACACAGGAGCAACAGATACTGTGAAAAGAGGGAGAGGAGCAGAAACAATAACTCTTGGGTACTAGGCTTAGTACCTGATGGACAAAATAATCTGTACAACAAACCTCCATGACATGAATTTGCCTATATAACAAACCTGCACCTAAGTACCCCTGAACCTAAAAGTTTTAAAATAATAATAATTTTTTATTTTTAATTTTTATTTGAGAATTAATTTTAAGACAAAAATGACATCTTCCTTTTGGTTTTTAACTTGTTGAAGTAAAATACACAACAATAATAGCACAAAGTATGAGAGTGGGAAAATAGAAATACACTATTTTAGGTTCTCATATTATATGTGAACTTATCTGAGATTATTTGAACAGATAATGTAATAGCTTACAATAGGTTAAGTCTCAAGCAGCTAATTAAAAAGAAAAATAATAAACCAAGTAGGTATGGTCTATAAGCCAAAAAAAAATTGCCAAATTAATGATAAACATTATACATAGTAAAAAAAAAAAACAGAAAACCATTTTGGAAAAATATGATAGATACCACTAGAAATCTCATTATGTCTATGACACACAAAGTTTATAAAATAAATACTTGTCACACATAAAAATATTTTTTTCTAATTTTCTTTACTGATTTGCAAAGTATGAATCAGCGTCCTGTATACATATCATACATATATCTTGAAGAACTTCTAGATTACATGTTTTATTTATCACTGAAAACCCATGGTACAAGAGAAAAAAATTAAAATTCTCATTTAATCAATGATTCTTTTGTAACCAATATTAAGACAAGAATATTTTCATTAAGAGTATCTGTGATGGAGCTAGTGCTAGTTTGTTATGACAGTAAAGTAGCACTTGAAAATAATTTCACAAACTGCTTTAATCACATAAATCCCTTATACCTCCTGAAGTTGATCCGGTGAAAATTATGAAACTAATCAAATAGTGGCCAATGAATGGATTTTTTTGGTATGGTTTCTATAGAAATGGTAAAAATCATCTTTCACATAGTGATGTATGCTTGCTTTTAGGGAAAAAAATATGTACATAAGAGTTTTTGAAGGGAAAGATGAAATAAAATACTGTCTTCACACCAGAATAGTGGCACATTCAGTGTCTTGAACAGCCCCAAACCAATGATTTTATGGACAAAATGGAATTAATTTATAATACTGTCGATAATGTATCAAAATATCTTAAAAAGAAATGGCTTGCAAAAAGATTACCAACAGCTTGGCTCTTTCTCCAAATCTAAACATCTTCCTCACTCACTGCAGAAGGAAACTGATAGCATATCATTAGGCATAGTTAAAACCGACATTTAAATGCTGTAACAGAACATGTTGAATATTTTTCAGAGCCAAATAAAACCAGAAACTGGAATTGGAATCTATTCTCTGACATCTAAGTTGAAATATCCAACCTTCCAGCTGTTGAGTGTAATGTGCTTGTCAAGTTCACATCTAACGGTGCACTGATAATAGTTTTTATTCAGACATCTCTATATTATTCCTCAGTCTTCATTTCATCTTAATATTGAAGTGCATCCAAGAGAGCCATCAAATACTTGCTGCCATTTGCCAACACTCTATAATCGTGAATTCATGTTTTCTAATTTTAAATCAATAAAGACTAAGAAACTGACCATCTAGCTGTCTATCCATAAGTCAGATACAGATTTTTGGGTGAAAGACTCACATCTACAGATAAAAGACATTAAATGAGAGTTATTTATTTTGTTAATGGGGACATAAATGATCAAAATTGATTTGTTCAATATCATTATGCATGCTGTGTGTCAAAGGGACAAGAGGGTGGCAAGAATGTATGATCAGGTTGGATACTGTTTTCAGTGCTTTATGAAAATGATGCAGCAGAGATCGAGTTAAATAGGTAGAGTCAAGGCAAAGGTAGTAAACCTATGGTACATGGTGAGGATAAAGTGAAAGAGAAGAATCAAATTAAGTCTCATGTTTTTGCTTTTGTAGGTAGTTTTACCTTTTACTGTAACTGGGAGCACAGGAGAAAAAGCAAGTTTCTGGTGACAGAAAAACTTTCTATTTTAACACATTGAGTCTGAGGGCTGTAAAAACAATGGGAAAATGCCCATTAGAAAGTTGTTTATATGAACCTGCTGTCCAGGAGAAAGATTTAGATTGGAGAATAAGATTATGAAGTCATGAGATTATCTATGATAATTAAAACCATAGGTTTGATAA
Organism: Homo sapiens; assembly: GCF_000001405.40. NCBI lineage: Eukaryota > Metazoa > Chordata > Mammalia > Primates > Hominidae > Homo > Homo sapiens. The sequence goes on from NW_025791819.1 coordinate 59,132, forward strand.
CATCATTCATGAAGCATGTGACTGAAGTAAGTATAAGGCAGATATCTGAGGGACAACACATTTAGGGTTAAGGTAGAGGAGATATATCAAGAGAGTATAATGTCAAAGAAGTCAAGTGAAGAGTCTTTCAAGAAGGAAGGGGTACAGAATCAACTGAGGTGTTAGGTCATTCTTGCATTGTTATAAAGGAGTACATGAGATGGGGTAATTCATTTTTAAAAAGAGATTTATTGGGCTCGTTGTTCTGCAGGCTGTATGAACATGGTTACAACATCTGCTTGGCTTCTGTGGAGGCCTCAGGGAGCTTTTACTCGTAGCGGAATTTGAAGCAGGAACAGGAAGGTCACATGGCAGGAACAGGAGCAAGAGAGAGAGGGAAGGTGCCACACACTATTAAGCACCCAGATCTCATGAGAACTCACTCAGTATTGCAAAGACAGCACCAAGGGAATGGTGCTAAGCCTTTCATAAGAAATCTGCCCCCATGATCCCATCACCTCCTACCAGGCCCCACCTCTAACTTTGGGGATTAAAATTCAACATGCGATTTAGAGGGGACAACATCCAAACTATATAAACTGAATAGTGTTAGAGAGCAATGAGGTGATATGAGGACTAAGAGCATCTGTTAGAATAAAATAGGGTTCATCTATGTTGATTTTGAGCAGTAGCTTTATAGTCATCGAAGTGGATTATAGTCTAGATTTGGTTGAGAAATGAATGGCCAGTGTATTGAAATGTAGACAGCTTTTTAGTGGAGAATTTTTTTCCTAAGAAGGACTGCATTAGGATTGACTGAGGTAGTGAGATCAAGAGGAAATTTTAAAAAAATTAACATGTACCTGCGGATGAGAACAGTTCAGTAGAAAAAGACAGATAGTAATACAAGAATGATGAAAAGGTGGGAGAGTGTGGAATCCCAAGCACAATTTGAATGATATTATTTGGATGGGAGGAGGCATGCCTCTTCCATTCTAACTGGAGGGAATGAAAAAATAAAAGGTATGGACATCTCTAGATTTTCAGATGGTGAACTCATCTGCTCAGAGTCATATGTGATAGACAGACATGTTTTTCAACTTCTATTTTAGATACAGCTGGTAAGTGTACAGGTTGTTTGAGTTAGCATATTGTATGATGCTCAGGTTTGGATTATAGATCCTGTCACCCTGGTAGTGAACATAGTATGGAAGAGGTAGTTTTTAAAATCTTATTCCCCTCCATACCTCCACCCTCTAGTAGTCCATAGTATCTTTTGTTCCCATGTTTATGTTCATAAGTGCTCAAAGTTTGCCTACCGCTTATAAGTGACAACATGTGGTATTTGGTTTCCTGTTGCTGCGTTAATTCACTTAGGATTATGGCCTCCAGGTATATCCATGTTGCTGCAAAGGGCATGGTTTCATTCTTTATATGGCTGTGTAGTATTCCATGGTGTATATGTACTGCATGTGGTTAACCAGTTATCACAGCACCATTTATTGAATAGAAAGTCTTTTTCCCATTTATTATTTTTGTTGATTTTGTCAAACATCAGGTGATTGTAGGTGCATGGCGTCATTTCTGATTTTTCTTTTCTGTTCTATCGCTCTGTATGTCTATTTTTGTATGTCTACTATGCTGTTTTGATTACAATATAGAGTACAGTTTGAGGTCAGGTAGTGTGATGCCTCCATCTTTGTTCTTTCTGCTTAGGATCACTTTCACTATTCAGACTCTTTTTTTGTTCTTGTTCTACTAGTGAATTTTACACTATTTTTAATCTAATTCTATGAAGAATGATGCTGGTAGTTTGGCAGGCATAATGTTAAATTTGTAAATTGCTTTGGGCAGTATAACCATTTTAATGATATTGATTCTTCCAATCCGTGAGCTTGGAATGTGTTTCCATTTATTTTTGTCATCTCTGATTTCTTTCAGCAGTATTTTGTAGTTCTCCTTGTAAAACTCTTTCAACTCCTTGGTTAGCTGTAGTCCTAGGTATTTCAATTTTTTTGTGGCTATTGTAAAGGTGATTGTGCTCTAGATCTGGCTTTCAGTCTGGACATTAATCATCGAAAGAAATGCTACTAATTTTGGTACATTGATTTCATGTCCTAAAACTTTACTAAAATCATTTATTTGTTTTAAGAACCTCCTGGCAGAGTCTTAAGCATTTTCTAGGTATAGAATAATATCAGTGAAAAGAGATACTTTGACTTTTTTTTTTCTATTTAGATGCCTTTTATGTCTTTCTCTTGCCTGATTGCTCTGGCCAGGACTTCCAGTACTATGTTGAATAGGAGTAGTGAGAGTGGGCATCCTTGTCTTGTTCTATATCTCAAGTGGAATGCTTCCAGCTTTTGTCCATTTAATATGATGTTGGCTGTGGGTTTGTCATAGATGGTTCTTAATATTTCAAAGTATATTCCTTTCATGCCTAGTTTGTTGAGTTTTTTTTTTTTAATCATGATGGGATGTTGGATTTTATCAAAAGCTTCTTCTACATCTATCGAGATGGTCATATCATTTTTGCTTTTAATTCTATTCATTTGGTTAATCATATACATTGATTTGCATATGTTTTAGGTAACCTTTCATCCCAGGAATAAAGGTGACTTGATCATGGTGAACTAACTTTTTGATGTGCTGCTGGAATCACTTTTCTACTATTTTTGTTGAGAATTTTTGGGTCTATTTTCATCAGGGACATTGGTCTGAAATTTTCTTTTTTCATTGTCTTTGACAGATTTTGGTATCAAACTGATGCTGCCTTCACAGAATCAGTCGGAGGAGCACCTCATCCTCGATTTTTTGGAATAATTTAAGTAGAATTTGTACCAGTTCTTCTTTATATGTCTAGTAGAATTCAACTTTAAATCCAAACAACAAAACAAAAATTTTTTTGGTAGATATTTTTATTGCTGATTCAATTTCAGAGCAAGGTATTAGTTTATTCAGGGTTTCAATCTCTTCCTGATTCAATCTTGGGAGATTATGTGTTTCCAGAAATTTATTCATTTCCTCTAGATTTTCTAAAATGTATGCATAGAGTTGTTTAAAGTAGTCTCTGAGGATCTTTCATATTTCTGTGGGATAAATTGTAACATCATCTTTGTCGTTTCTGATTGTATTTATATGGATCTTCTCTTTTTTCTATGTTAATCTTGCTAGCGGTCTATCAATCTTGTTTATTGTTTCCAAAAAACAAACCTTTGGTTTTATTGATCCGTTTTTGGATATTTGCATCTCAACTTTATTCAGTTTTCTAACTTCAGTTATTTGTCTTCTGCTACTTTGGGGTTGGTGTGTTCTTTTGTTTCTAGTTGCTTTAGGTGCAAAGTTAGATTATTAATTTGAGATCTTTCTAATTTCTCAATAAAGGAATTTTAGGGCTGATGTTCCTCTTACCATTGTTTTAGTTGCATCCCAGAGATTTTCGTAAGTTGTTTCCCTATTTTCATTAATTTCAAATAATTTTTCAATTCCTGCCTTAATTTCCATGTTCACTCAGGAGTTATTCAGGGGTAAAGTGTTTAATTTCCATGTATTTGTGTAATTTTGGGAGATCTTCTTTATATTGATTTCTGTTTTTATTGCACTGTGGTCTGAGTCTGTCTTTGGTATGATTTCAATTTTTTGAAACTATTGACACTTGCTTTATGACTAAGCATATAGTTGACCTTAGAATATGTCTTATGTACGGATGAGAAGAATCTGTATTCTGTGGTTGTTGGTTGGAGTGTTCTGTTTATATCCATTAGGTACAGTTTGTCAAAGGTCAAGTTTAAATCTAGAGTTTCTTTGTTAGTTTTCTTCCTCAGTTAACTGTCCAGTGCTGTCAGTGTGATGTTAAAATCTGCCACTATTATTCTGTGGTTGAGTCTTTTTGCCTGCGAAGAAAAACTTGTTTTATGAGTCTGAGCACTCCAATGTTAGGTATGTATAGACTTACGATAGTTAAGACTTCTTGTTTGATTTTACTCTTTATCATTATTTAATTCCTTTTTTTTTGCCCTTCTTAATTTTTATTGCTTTAAAGTCTGTTTTGTCTTATATAATATTAGTAACTACTGCTCTATTTTGTTTTCTGTTTGCATGCTAGATCTTTCTCCATCCATTTACTTTGAGCCTGTGGGTGTGGTTGTATGTAAGATGGGTCTCTTAAAGACAGAAGAAGTTTGGTTCTTGTCTTTTTTATTCAGCTAATCATTCTGTGTCTTTTAAAAGGGGCATTTATCGTCTTTAAGTTTAGAGTTAGTACTGATATGAGAGATTTTAATCCTATAACTGTGTTTTTGGCTGATTGTTATGTAGATTTGACTGCATAGTTTCTTTATAGTGCCTGTAGGCTGTGTGCTTAAATGTGTTTGCCTGGTAGCAGGTCTCATTCTTTCAATTCATTGTTTAGCACTCCCGTAAGGAACTCTTGTAAGGCTAGTCGATTTGAAACAAATTCTCTAAACCCTCCAATACTGTTGGTGTCATGTGAATTATTACAACCACTATAAAGAACAGTTTGGAGGTTCCTAAGCAAACTAAAAATAGAGCTATTATATGACCCAGCAATCCCACTCCTAGATATGTACCAAAAGAAAGGAAATTAGTATATCAAAGACATATCTGCACTCCCATGTATATTGCAGCACTATTCACTATAGCCAATATTTGGAAACAACCTAAATTTCCACCAACAGATAAATGGATAAAGAAAATGTACATATACACAATGGAGTACTACTCAGCCATAAAAAAGAATGAAGTCCTGTCATTTGCAAAAACATGGATGGAACTGGAAGTCATTATGTTAAGTGAAATAACCTAGGCACAGAAAGACAAACTTTACATGTTCTCATTTATTTGTGATGAAGCAGAAGATATAAAAAGAAAAACAAGTTTTCCTGTACTAGGCTGACTCCCTCCAAGACCCAGGGAGGGGCAGGGATCTGTCAAGGCTTTGATAGCATTATCTGCAGAGCTGGGGCACAGAAGGGATGGGCTTCAGAGTCTCTCCCTCCCATCCTGGAGCAAGGTTGGGAAAAACAAGTTTTTCTCTTTCAGCTTCCCCCTTACCTGCTTACTGTTCGCACAATTATCTTTGCAAGTTTTGTAAGTTCCTGTTTTTCCCTTCTGTGCAGCACAGTGAAGGTCACAAGATATGCCTGAGTTGCAACACCTGGCTTGAGTTGTAAAACCTGTCACTGATAAACTGCCTTTGTTCTGCTTCTGTAAGCTTGGTTACCTGCCTTACAGGTTTCATGCCATTTTCAGATGTATGTATAAAAGTCAAGCCCTGTCTTTGTTTGGGGCTCAGCCTTTGGATGTTAATCTGCTGGGCTGATGGCCACCTAAATAAAATCCTCCTGTTCCACCCGTTGGTCTCTCCCATCCCTTAATTCCCACAACATTTCGAGCTAAAATTTTAAACAATTGAATTCATGGAGATGGAGAGTAGAAGGATGGTTATCAGAGGCTGGGCCGGGTAGCAGAGGGTGGGAAGAAATGAGGATGATTAATGGGTATAAGAAATAGAAAGAATGAATAAGGTCTAGTATTTGACAGCACAAGAGGATGACTGTTGTCAAAAATAATTTAATTGCACATTTAAAAATAGCTAAAAGTGTATAATTGGATTGCATTTTAAAACACAAATGCTAGAGGTGATGGGCGATCCATTTACGCTGATCTGATTATTACACATTTCATGCCTGTATAAAAAATCTCATACCACAAATATATACACCTACCGTGAACACACTTTTTTTTTTTTTTTTTTTTTTTTTTACAAAAGAAACAAATTTCCTTAACTTTTTCTTGTCTGAGAAGATTTTAATTTCTTTTTCACTTATAAAGCTTAGTTTGGTGAGATATAAAATTTTTGCTTGTAATTTCTTTTATTTAAGTACACTGAAAATAGGCCCCCAAACTCTTCTGGCTTATAAAGTTTCTGCTGAGAGGTCTGCTGCTGATGAGGTTCCCTCTGTATAACCCTTGACCGTTCTTTGTAGCTACTTTTAAGATTGTTTCTTCTGCATTAACCTTGGTTAAACTGATGACTATATATCTTAGGAATGTTCACCTTGTATAGTATAAAGCTGGTGGACTCTGTATTTTTTGAATTTGCATGTCAACCTCTTAGTGAGAATTTTCCTGCACTATATACCCAAATATATTTTCCAAATTACTTATTCTCTCTCCTCTCACAGGAATGCCAATTAGTTGTAGATTTGGTCACTTTACATAATTCCATGTTTCTCAGAGGTTTTAATCACTTTTAATGCTTTTTTATATTTGTCTGAGTTGCTTAAAAAAACTCTTCTTCAAACTGTGAGATTTCTTCCTCAGCTTGCTATATTTTGCTGTTAGTACTTCTGCTTGTATTATCAAACTCTTACAATGTCAACCATATCAGAGCAGTTTGAATCTTTCTTATAATGGCTATTTTGTCTTCCAGCCCTTGGATCCTTGTACTGGATTCCTTGAATTGAGTTTCAATATTCTCCTCAATCTCCATGAGTTTTCTTGCCATCCAGAGTCTGAATTCTCTGTCTGCCATTTCAGTCATTTCTGACTGGTTAAGAACCATTGCTGGGGATCTGGTGGACTTATTTGGAAGTTAAGAGAACACTCGTGGTTTTTAAATTGCCAGAGTTCTTACATTGATTCTTTCTCATGTGGAAAGGTTGGTGTTCTTTTTACTGTATTTTGAGTATAGTTAGTTGGCTTCATTTCTGGATTTTTTAGAGGGCCTAAGCTCTGTGCAGGGTCTTTATTTATGGCTTCATTCTTGCCTTTGGTTTTACAAGGGACATATTAGCAAAATATTTTTGACCTTGTAGTTTGGGCTCTGATCCAGTAGATAGTGCTTAAGAGTAATGCATGGTAGATAAACTCTTACTCAGCCATGTGGCTCCATTGTATTTCCTTGTGTTTACAGCCATGCTTTGCAGTGCAGGGGACAGAGAGGTGACCTTCTCACTTAGTCCTCTCCTGGGCCTTGGGGGAGACCCCTCCAATCATTGGCACTGTGCCCACCTCTCTTTTGTGAGGTGTTCCAGAACTCTGGGATCCCTGGGAAGAAGCTGCAGAAGGGAAATAGGCCACAACCTTTCTGGGCTAACCCTGTGGAGGGATACATGGCTTGCTCCTGCTCTAGCCCATAAATTCATGCAACTCACCCCTCTCAATGCTCTGAGAGTATGGGCTCCTCTTCCTCTTGAGTGCTGTTCACTGGTCTCTGCTTGGCATTCCTGAGCTGTGAGTCACAGCCCTGGGGTACTGAGATCAGCTAGTGGCTCCATCCTCTCAACCCTCACAGTTAGGTTCTGGGTATGCTGAGAGATCTGAAATTCTCCCAGGCCACCAGGAATGTAATCAAGTGGAGAAGCACCCAGGCTTGGTAGCAGAGATTGTGCTGTGCACATGCTCCTGCAGGGTAGCTATAGAGGGGTCCTTTGAGAGGTTGTTGGGCAGGATAGGCTGCAGAACAGACATGCCACAGTTTTGTGGGGAAGTAGGCCTCATTTTCTTCTGGCCTGTTGGTCAGCTGGGGCTAGAGCGTTTCAGAGCGAGTTGGGGAACCCTAGGTGGTTGGCGTCTATAGCCATGCTTCCCCAGAGCTGTATAATACTTTAATTTTATGCTGATTGAAGCTCCATGTCTTTCTACTCTCTGGGCTGATCCCCGTCAGCTCAAATGTCTATGGAGTATGTGGGACCCCTGTAGCCAGGATCCCTGTGGTCCACAGTGAGGGTGAACAATCATATACTCCCTTTACTTGCCAGTTTCCCAGGAGGCATTTTGGGTCAGGAACTAGCCCCAGTGTTTGGGTACCCCACGTAGTGTTTCCAGCCTACTCCATCGTCAGCTTCAGCATCTACATCATGTCTCTACCCACTCATGGCATTTTCCCTCCAAATATCTGTCTAAATTTTGTTGTTTTACTCAAAACCTTGGTAGTCTCAGTAGGAGTGGCACTTCTGGCTGTATCTAGTTGGCCGTCTTGTCTTGTGTCTGACAGATTTTTGATGTAGGAAGTTTCAGGAAAGTGGGGAAGATTTGTGATAGTCATTGTAGAGAAGTAGAGAAGCAAGCAGATTAGAGAACCTTAGTAGGATGGCTACTTAGTATTTGGGCTTCAGTTAAGGCTGGCAATGATTATTTTTAGTGGTATCAACAGCCAAGTGTTGTTACTTTTTCCAATGTTGTTGCAAGAGTAGAGGAGGTGAAATGTACGTTTATCCACGGTTAGGATATTACCAGATGTATGTGAAAGTGGGGAGATTAAAATAAAATAGTAGTTGAAGTGATGAGCCATATCAACTCTATAAGATAAGGACAGAGCTAAAAATTAAGAAGGAATTTGAGGGAGGACTAAGAATTTGAAGTTCCTGTAAGTTCAAAAAACAATAGTAGAAATAACAAATAAATGAATATACTAGAGTTTTCAAAAACTGGAATGATTTGGAGGAGAAATACTTTTGAGTGATGGTCCTCGTGTGTGATTGCACAAGTCAGTTGAAGTAGCCTATAGAAGAGATGAATTGGATGTCAAGAAAATGAGAGACAGGAATGTTGAACAGCTGATGTGTATGTACATAAAAGTTACATGGGATAACAGCAAAGCTTGGAATAACTAGAAGTCTGTACACCAGGTGCCTTTGCCTTGAATGAATAATTGGAAGAGGAAAGCTTGTGATGGGGAGATGTGTGAATACAATAAGAAGTGGGAGAAGATGGCTTGGTTAGAAGACATGAAGCTCACAAATAGAAAGATGTATTTTTAAAAATAAAATATGGATTAATAATATTTGGAAAGCAATTTTGTGAAGCTAGTAGAATATCAATCTCAATTCTAAAATCTGAATGGTGGAGGACTGTGGGTGTATGAAGAGCTTCCTTTTGAGATGAAAGACAGTGCTTCTAACAGAACTGGATTTACATTGGGACAGAAATTTATGTTTAGTGAGTGGGACATTTGAATTAATGACTTTAGAAATGAAGCATATTTAGGTGATGACAATATTCAGCTTATGCCCTTAACAGTGGATGGCAAAAGGAAGGAATTTTTATATAAAACTAGGAGTTGAAGGAACTTAGAAACTAAGATGTTGAGTAGATTCCTGACACAAGAGAGTTCTTTTCCAGGATGTTAAAAAAATTCAGAGTAGAGAGGAATAGATTGAACCAGTCTGTAGATGACAGTGACAAGGTGGCAGAATAGGAGGCACACAGATGGACATAATTGAACCAGTCTGTAGATGACAGTGACAAGGTGGCAGAATAGGAGGCACACAGATGGACATAATAAGTCTCAAAGGAGCAAAAAAAATTTATATTATTATGGTAAGAAGAAAGGCCTTATTACACTCATAGGAAAGAAGAATGATGGATATCCCTTCCTACTCTGAAATAGATGAAGAGCCTCCACTTGAAAAGGGATATTACAACTCAAAAGGACACATATGCTTTAGTTAAGGCAGCTTGTGGAGAAAAGTGTTATTAATAATTTTGTATAAGTAACAGAGGGCATGGGGAAGGATTTGTAATGAATAGCTCTTATCTTTGAAATCCAGAACTATACATCTAAATATCTGGCTACCATCCTCACTTGGTTGTATGAAAAACAAATTGAGGTAAATGCATCAAATATTTAATGAATGATCTTCTCTCCATACTTCCACTCCATCCCCAAATTCTATTTTTCTTGTACAGTGTTGTGTGTCTGTCATCATCTTTCATCTGAACTTCTGCCTTCTGATTTACCCTTATTTACATTACTCTCCCCACAATATTTCTTCACGTTGTAGTAGTGTGCTAATTATCAAAACTCAAATGTCTTGCTACTGCTCTGAGAAGCCAAAATTTAAAAATTATTATACAAAAGCCTGTATTTTCCAGCCCCTCACTATTTCCAAGGCTTCATTTAGTAATGTGCTTGGCTCCCTCTGCATCTTAGCCAAACTGGTCTTGTTTCGGTCTGTCAAATGTCATATTCCTCCTACTTTAAGTTTGCTCTTACCTGCAGTTTTATTCTTTCACAATGTTAGCCTCTTCCCTTATGCAACTTTTTGCCCTGTTATTTAGGATAGATCCTTTAAATCTCAGCTTAAGCATCAAGGACTGATTCACTAAGGCTACTTTGACAACATTTCTTAAACATGAAGGGGAAAACAATAAAGCTTCTTGGAGAACATAGGAGAATATCTTCATAGTTTTCATTCAAGAAAGAGGAAGCATTGCAGATCCTTGGGGGGATTATTTTCAATTAGTAGAGCTGGAATAACTATGTATCTCTTGGGGAAAATCAAATAGGATACTTGCCTCACAATATACACATAAGAACATTCCAGGTATAAACAAATATATATGTATTTCATTTTAAGAGCATAGATGAAGACTTTCAAGAGGCTAGGGTAGTCAAACATTTCTGAAACAGAACAATAAAAGACAAGACTAACGAAATTTTAGCTCAACATCACCGATCATTAGAGAAATGTAAATCAAAACCACAGTGATATGAACAGACACTTCTCAAAAGAAGACATTTATGCGGCCGACAAACACAGGGAAAAAAGCTCATCATTACTGAACATTAGATAAATGCAAATAAAAACGACTATAAGGTACCATCTCATGCTAGTCAGAATGGCTATTATTAAAAAGTCAAGAAACAATAGATGCTGATGAAGCTGTGGAGAAGTAGGAACCCTTTCACACTGTTGGTGGGAATGTAAATTAGTTCAATCGTTGTGGAAGACAGTGTGGCAATTCCTCAAGGACCTAGAACCAGAAATACAATTTGACCCAGCAATCCCATTACTGGATATATACCCAAAGGATTATAAATTATTCTACTATAAGGACACATGCACACATATGTTTATTGCAGCAGTATTTACAATAGCAATCACATGGTACCAATCCAAATGCTCAACAATGATAGACTGGATAAAGAAAACGTGTACATATACACCATGGAATACTATGCAGCCATAAAAAAGAATGAGATCATGTCCTTTGCAAGGACGTGGATAAAGCTGGAAGCCATCATCCTCGGCAAACTAACACAGGAACAGAAAACCAAACACCACATGTTCTCAATTGTGGGAGCCAAACAATGAGAACGCTGGGATACAGGGAAAGGAACAACACCCACCAGGGTGGGTGGAGGGCAAGGGGAGGGAGAGCATTAGGACAAAGACCTAATGCATGCGGGGCTTAAAACCTATATGATGGGTTGATAGGTGCAGCAAACCACCATGGCATATGTATAGCTATGTAACAAACCTGTGTGTTCTGTACATACATCCTGGAGCTTAAAGTAAAATTTTTTAAAAAAGTAAAAATAACAAGAGTTGGGAGAGATGTAGAGTAACTGGAAATCTTATACATTGCTGATAAGAATGCAAAATCTAGAGCCATATTAGAAAATAGTTTGGCAGTAAACGTACATCTACTCAATGAGCCTGCAATCATATTCTGAATATATGCCCAAGAAAAATGATTGCATGGTTTCCCAAAGGATATGTACAAGTATATTCATGGTGGCTTAATTTATTATAGCTATAAACTGAAAATAATCCAAATGTGCAACAACAGTAGAATGTATAAATAGTTTAACATTCATATAATGAAAAGCTATGATAAAAATAATGGGTTACTGCTACATACAAAAACATGGATGTGACACAAACATAAAATCCAAACATAAAAACCAGACACAAAAGAATAAATATTGTATAACAGTTATACAAGCAAATGCTAGTCTGTCATGATAAAACAAGGAAAACTAATATATGGTGATAATTACAATAGTGGTGGCCTTGCATGAAGGAGAATGAGATGGTATTGACTAAGAAGGGACATGAAGACACCTTCTAGGATGCTAGAAATATTTTATCTCTTGCTCTTCTTGGTGGTTACATGGGTGTATAAATACAAGAAAATTAAGGTATACGTTAAGATTTCTGGATTTTACTGTTTACATGTTATATCTCAATAAAAATGTTAGAAAATACTCTCAAGAGCTTGTATTGGTGCATTATTAGAATTCTTGTAGAATGTAAGATTCATAAACCTAGGAATCTTGTCAATCTTATTCAGAAATGAATGAATCAATGTGAAAATAATTTGAAGGCACAATCAAGAGAAAAGCAGCCCAGGATATAAAGTTGAGAGAATTTGACAAGATATGGTCCTTGTACTGTTTGCAAATTTCAGATTATAACAGAATTCATTTCATAAATTCCTATGCCCTATCCCAAAAAATTTTGATTTCATGTATCTGAGAGTATGGCCCAAGAATATGAGGTTTTAACAAATGCCCAAATGACTCTGATGTAGATAGTCTTAGATTTGCATATTGAGAACATTTTTTAAAAATTATATTGTGAGAAGAGTCTAAAATTATGGAGGAAAAACTGCACTTAATAGGGACAGTCAAGCTTTGAGATAGAGTTGAGCACCCCTTTCACTCAGATCTTCAGCGATGCCCTCTAACGTGAACCTCACAGATAACTACTGATTGTGAAGAGATTTGGTGGCTACAGTTAATACTAGCAGAAGGGCAAGCACAAATAGCTGGGGTCATCACACAAAATATGGGCTATAGGAAGTGTTTATTAAGAAGAATAAATAGATTGATTGGATTGGAACAGGTGTTATGGAAACAGGTGTTATTGGAACAGGTGTTTGGTGGCTGATTCCACCAAATCATTGCATTACCAAAGCATGCTTTCTTCCTACTTCAATTCTATTTAAACTTTTTCTTTCTGCTCTCACTTCTTAATTTGTGTTAGTCTTCTTTGTTTACATGAGTAGCTTGGCCTTTAAATTATGAAATCCTTGATGGCAGAGGCTGTATCTTATTATTTTTAGTATTGTATGTTCCTAGTATGGAGTATGCACATAATAGTCCTCAACTGGTTTTCATTTAATGAGTAAATATTTGAATTTCATAGAGGCCAGAATTCAGAGAAAAGTGAGGTACCGAACGTAAGTTTCAGGGAATAGTATATACATACCAGGATATATGTGTGCATAGGAATGGTGAGACAAGATGATCTGGGAAAGCTGAAAAACTTTTATGGCTTAGCAAGGTACATGTAGATACCTGCAATAACTGTCATATTAACAAAGGTCATCTCTGTGTATGTTGAGTATATCTCTTAGAGAGATGCAGAATTATGGTAGAGGCCACATTTTGATTTGTTATAGCATGGTATTAAGCATAATAAACAACTCAGAACAAAATGCTTATTTCCTACGAGTTATTAATTAGGCATTACACAACTGTGTGTTGTCAGTATCAAGTGTTTTTTGTCATTAGATTTCAAAATAATTTTTTATCTTGTTTCTGCTAGGGAATAAGTAAATTCAGTAACCATGAATATTTCAAAGTGCTTGTAATTAAAACTTAATGTGCTTGGCACAAAAACGTTTTTCAAAGATTGAGCCAATTTTTTGCTGATTCTGCTGTCAGTCTGCACCCATGCATGCTAACAGCTGGCTCATAAACACTGCATGGCATTGCTTCTCAGCTACTGTGTAAGTAATTAAATCTTTTCTTGTATATCATCATTTATATTCAAGGCAAAGAGTCAAATGCTCATGTGGCGTTTTCTATTATGGTTTCCACTGGGGACAAAATAAGCTCACCTGAAGATGGAGATAGGCATTTTTAACAAGTTGGGCTGTGACAAAATAGAATATGGCCTACTAGTGCTAAAAAGCAACATGATGGTTTTATTCACTTCCTGGTGAATCTAAGGGAAGGCCGAGCTGTGCAGAGTCCTTAGACATGTGGTGAGTGTTCATGTACAAACATAGAGTAGGATGGTGATGACCAATAATAGTGATATGTGCGGCAGCTAACAAACAAATGCAGGGGTTGTTTACTGTAACTCACTTGAGTCAAAGTCAAGGTAAATAGTCCCAAACTGTCTCCAATATAAAGGTCTTTCTTCATCAGCAAATTTAACACTAGATTTTAAACAGGGCGGAGAGGAGTATAATACAATAAATGAAAAAGTAATCTAGATGTAGATAGGTCTGGAATATATCCTGAGGCATCCCTCAGGTGGAACGCAAACACCCGTGGTAGCTCTTCATGTCTTTGTAAAAGGACTTCCTTGTGTGATTAAAAGGAGAAATTTGGAACAGACAGATCACCTATCTTCAACCATGCAATGTGAAGAAAGACTAGATTCAGAGGTAACTATCAAAGTGCCCTGTTAGAAGCTTGCATGTATACTTACAGAACTCCTCTCAGTTGTCATGTCTTTTCATTCTAAATGTTAACCACAGACGGTAGGAAAGCTACTGAGATGTATTTATTTCATAATCAAAGTGTTTAAGAAACACAGGCCTGAGCTATTATAATTTCCTCCAGCAGATGGAGACAGAAGTACTTGGGAGGAAGTGGGAACAATGGGACCCTGTCCTGCTTCCCTTTTCCTCATGGGTCTGCAACTTTGGCTGAGTTTACTGCTTTTTCTGAGCCTGCCTCTTGATCTCATTTATTGTACTCCTATCATTGAGCCACCAAATTAAAAGTATTTCTTTCCGGTCTTGGTGCTCTGTTGATTACAAAGTTTCGTATCTGGAGAGCAGCTTTCATTAAATCATTTATAATAACAGTATACCAAGGTCCATTCAATTTACAGTGTGATATACAGTTCCTTTATTGTTTCTTCTACAATTTATAATTATTTTCTTTCAGGAGTGAAGGCTCAGGGTAAGGTGCAATAGTCTGCAATTTTCTCTAATTCTCAGTATAGTAAGGTCTAGGTATACACTGATTTAATAGTCAATCAATTTTCATAATTATTCTAAATAGTCTTCTGAATTTGTAAAACCAAAGTGTGAAGCCTTGACTTTTTCAGCCCTACTCAGCCACAGGGACTGTTTCATCAGATTGTAGGCTTTGTGCCACCAGGTGATGGGCCAACACTGGAAGATTTGTCCAAACTAGCAGAATATTAGGAACCCTATTTACATCATAGGCTGGAGTCTGAAACTGGTCTTGCTGTTCTGAGCACCGAAATATCTACCTCACTATCAACACTGGGCATCTGCCATAATTCCTTTATAGCTGTTTAGTCTCCCTTTGGAGCTGTGTCCCCAAACTCTTTTCCATTTAGATTCAGCCCTATTTCTCCATCCAGCCCTTGCCAACGTCTCATCTAGTAGCTGGACCCTGTCTTCTATTCACAAGTGATGGCTTGGGTTCTGTATTAGTCTTTTCATGCTGCTGCTGATAAAGACATACCCAAGATGCGACAATTTACAAAAGAAAGAGGTTTATTGGACTCGCAATTCCACATGGCTGGGAGGCCTCACAATCATGGCAGAAGGTGAAAAGCACGTGTCACATGGTGGCAGACAAGAGAAGTGCTTGTGCAGGAAAACTCTCATTTTTAAAACCATCAGATCTTATGAGACCCATTCACTGTCAAGAGAACAGCATGGGAAAGACCCGCCCCTATGATTCAATTACTTCCCACTGGGTCCCTCCCACAATACATGGAAATTCAAGATGAGATTTGGATGGGGACACAGCCAAACCATATTAGGTTCTATGCCAAACAAGGCATTCCATTCTGAATTAAGACATTACCTCCTATTTAAATGCAGAGTATCTTATCTGTGGAAGAATCTTATTCTTGTACCCTACTGCACTAGCATGTGTCAGAGTTTTCCAGAGGGACATAACCAATAGGATAGGTAGATACATAGACAGACAGACAGACAGAGAGACAGATAGATATGAAAGGGATTGGCTCACACAATCACAAAGACAAAGTCCCAGGATTGGCTGTCTGCAAGCTGGAGAATGACAAAAGATGGTAGGATGGCTTCCAGAGCAGCTGGTAGTGTGGCTCAGTCCATGTCTGAAATCTCCAAACTAGAGAAGCTGACAGGGCAGCCTCCAGTCTGAGGCCGAAGATGTGAGAGGCCCAAGGAGGCCTCTGGGGCAAATCCTGGAGTCCAAACGCCAAAGAACCTGGAACCTGATGTCTATGGGCAGGAAAAGAAAAAGGGTTTCCTGCTCCTGAAGGGAGTGATAGTATGAAGAAAAGAATAAACCAATAAGCTGAAATGTCCTTCTTCTTCTGTCTGCTTTATTGTGGGAGTGTTCCCAGACTATTGGATGGTACCCACTCACATGGAGGGAGGATCCTCTTCTCATTCCACTGACTCACATTTCAGTCTCCTCTGGGAACATCCTCACAGACACATCCAGAAACAATGCTTCACTAGCCATCTAGTCATCTCTCAGTCTAGTCAAGTTGACACCTAATACTAACCATCACACTTATTCACTACATTAAAAACTTTTTCAATATCATTATTTGTTCACATTACCCCTGACTTTACCATGTTTACAGAAGACTACATCCCTCAGAGACTAGCAGTAAAGTTGGGTTAAGCCCCCAAACTCTAACCCAGATAATCTATTGCAACGTCTCCTTTCATTCTAGCATGTCAGGAGATTGGAATATGACACGGGAATTGTATTAGACTTTAAGATAAGTTCACTGATTTCCGAGAAAAATAAAATTAGAAAAAAAATAACTCTTTCTTCTGTGTACACCAAGAAGACAAAGATGACATATTCACCAAGGTGAACAGCAGGGACAAGTTTGACGAAGCTGAAGGACTGTTATTTCCCAACTTTCCCAGTCTCAGCCCCAGCCCCACTTAGTTGCTCCCATTATACTTCCAAACTGTAGGTTTAGCCCCACTGACTTTTTTTGAGTTTATAATAATCTTACCTGGCAGAATATCAGGAATCAATTGAATGGAATCTAGAGGTGATAATGCTGTCTTCAGTCTGACATGCCATGTGCCTGGAAGTGTGTCTTGAATACATAAGTATTTGCTGCTTTACAGTCATCCATTGTTCTCCTTCATTTATGCTCAACCCATATTACAGCCTTCCATCTTTGTTTTCTCAATTTGTACTCTGAATTCCTAGAAATCTGTTCCAAACTCTAGTGTACTTCCTCATTAATAGAACCTCTATTAATCTCATGATCTCATGCTACCCAACTTCCCTCAAGAGTTAAATCGAGTTTCCTTTATGCCTAGTTCTTAGCCACACGCCCACACCCAACATCCAGAATGCATGCTGCTGTCACTGGTCTGACTCTCAGCAACATTACATCTCAAAAATGCCTACTGCCATGTCTTATCCGTCATATCAGTCCTTATTGACTAAAAACACACTGATTACTCTAGGCTGAGTTAAACATCCCCATTGAATATCATGATCTAGATGCTTTAACTGTATCAGTGGCTAGCCCTGAAACCAAATTCATCCCAGTTCTGGTTCTAGGTTAACCCAGCTCCATTCAAGTCTAGCTTTCTTTCCTTACCGTCTGGCCTGTCATTATCCACACCTAGGATTTTTTTATACCTAATCTTTTCTCACCAAAATAGGATAGTCTCTGGTAGTAGCAGACATTATCCATACCATGGGAATCCTTATCCCATACAGTTTGCTGGAAAATATAGTTGATATATTTTGATTATGCTTAAACAGGATTTTAGTGTCCTTTGTTTTTCTCTCTTTTTTAAGACAGTCAAAAAGGCTCCTTTTTTTCTCCTTTCACTATAGGCTCCACCACTCTGTATTGTCTTATAACTGGTCTGCCTTGCCCATTTAGCACAACTGCCTGGGGCTGAGGCGTGAAGGCTTATGACGAAACCTAATTTTGAGTAATGTTGAAGAAAAGAAAAAACCTGGCTGGGTGCGGTGGCTCATGCCTGCAATCCCAGCACTTTGGGAGGCCGAGGCAGGTGTATCACCTGAGCTCAGGAGTTCGAGACCAGCCTGGCCAACATGGTGAACCCCATCTCTACTAAAAATACAAAAATTAGCTGGGCGTGCTGGTGGGTGCCTGTAATCCCAGCTACTCAGGAGGCTGAGGCAGGAGAAACTCTTGAACCCAGGAGGCAGAGGTTGCAGCGAGCCCAGATCGTGCCTTTGCACCGCAGCCTGGGCAATGAGAGCAAAACTCCGTCTAAGAAAAAAAAAAAAAAACACAGAGAGAGAGAAAAACCTAAACTAAGCCTCTGAAGAAAGAGCAATTACAAAGGAAAATAATTAAGCTTTATTATTTATAAATTTTTCAATTTGATTGCAAATTGGCCTTATGTAATACAACATGCTAACATTAATCAACATTATATGGAATTAACAGACCATACATTTGAATTATAAGAATTTGTAGCAGGGGATATACCTCTAGTATAAAGTTCAAGAAGAATTATTTTGGACAATTTTTGAGAGAGTAAAAAGATCATGGTAGATGATTCTGATTATGATATAAAACTAAAAATATGAACTTGATTCAGTCACATTTCATTTCTATGAACAACAATTGAGAGTCAAAGAAGTGGTTTAAGGACAGTGGTGGTCATATGTAGCATTGCTTTTATTTTATGGGAAATGTAATCTTTGTGTTTCAACTATGGGAAAAAGATTGGTGCACCTATAAAAATTATGTATGAGACACACCAGACCAAATACATTAGCTCATCCCCAAACATGTTATTTTCCTGTACTCATTCTGAATTCTTCTGATTTTTCTTCATATCTGATCAATTCAATTGCCTCCTATTATGCCAATCTCACCTCTCTCTGTCTCTCTTAAATCCTGAATTGATTTATTTCTCTCCATCTGTACATACAGTGACCCCTAACTGTTGTGTTGTCTTTATTCTGGATTCCCTTCTTTCACTATATTGCAGCCAGGATGATATTTTTAAAATTGAAATAAGCCTTCTCAATCTCTATATAAAACCTCTAATGGTAGTTTCTTTTGCTGTGCAGAAGCTCTTTAGTTTAATTAGATCCCATTTGTCAATTTTGGCTTTTGTTGCCATTGCTTTTGGTGTTTTAGACATGAAGTCCTTGAACAGGCAACCTACAGAATGGGAGAAAATTTTTGCAATCTACTCATCTGACAAAGGGCTAATATCCAGAATCTACAATGAACTCAAACAAATTTACAAGAAAAAAACAACCCCATCAAAAAGTGGGCGAAGGATATGAACAGACACTTCTCAGAAGAAGACATTTATGCAGCCAAAAGACATATGAAAAAATGCTCATCATCACAGGCCATCAGAGAAATGCAAATCAAAACCACAGTGAGATACCATCTCACACCAGTTAGAACGGCGATCATTAAAAAGTCAGGAAACGACAGATGCTGGAGAGGATGTGGAGAAATAGGAACACTTTTACACTGTTGGTGGGACCGTAAACTAGTTCAACCATTGTGGAAGTCAGTGTGGCAATTCCTCAGGGATCTAGAACTAGAAATACCATTTGACTCAGCCATCCCATTACTGGGTATATACCGAAAGGATTATAAAACATGCTGCTATAAAGACACATGCACATGTATGTTTATTGCAGCACTATTCACAATAGCAAAGACTTGGAACCAACCCAGATGTCCAACAATGGTAGACCGGATTAAGAAAATGTGGCACATATACACCATGGAATACTATGCAGCCATAAAAAATGATGAGTTCATGTCCTTTGTAGGGACATGGATGAAACTGGAAACCATCATTCTCAGCAAGCTGTCGCAAGGACAAAAAACCAAACACCGCATGTTCTCACTCATAGGTGGGAATTGAACAATGAGAACACATGGACACAGGAAGGGGAACATCACACACTGGGACCTGTTGTGGGGTGGGGGGAGGGGGGAGGGATAGCATTAGGAGATATGCCTAATGTTAAATGACGAGTTAATGGGTGCAGCACACCAACATGGCACATGTATACATACGTAAGAAACCTGCACATTGTGCCCATGTACCCTAAAACTTAAAGTATAATAAAAATCTCTAAAATGCTTTTCATCTCTTCATCAAATATATATATATATACACATATATGTGTATGTGTATATATAATCTTAACTCCTTATATATATATATATATTCTTAATTCCTATGCATAAGATTTTATATCTATGTGTATGTGTACATACATGTGTATTTGTGTGTGTGTGTATGTATATGTATAATCTTAACTCCTTTTTTTTGACATTATCATGGATTCCCTTTACTGGACCCAATCACTCTTCCAGCCTGGTTGTGGGCTTCTTTATTCTGCTCTTAATGCAACATAGCACCTTATTCCATGCAACCTATGTTTCATCCCTCAGCATATTTCACATTTTCTTTGAGGCCTAGAAATAGTCTATTCCCTTTCCTGTAATGTACTTCCTGCTCTTATGTACTTAGTACACTCCTAGTTAGAGCATCTCTTCCTTAATAAATCTTTCCATCTCTCCTTTCATAAGATTTAGTAGGTCCCTTCTTTTTGCCTTTATTGCTACTTTTTCATTTATGTAGTGCCTAATATAGAATAGGCATGATGGTAAAAGCTAGTGATCCCAAGATAAGCTAAGTAGACTTCTTGAAAAGAGTTCATGATTCAGTGATAAAAAACAGATGGTATAACATATGATTGAATATAATGAAATAATGTCTCACTAAAGGAATAGGCAGAAACTATGGGAATATCAAAGAGAAATAAAGTCAGCCTAGCAAGAACAAAAAAGCTCTCTTGGAAGTGAAAATCTCTATGACTGCATGAATCACTTTGTATTATGTTTATGTATGTGGGGAGGGCACACATACATGCACACACAATGCACATGCTTACCTAAGAATAAAGGACACCATAGTCTATCAACATTGTACTGAAACTGACACATAGCAATAGACATTGGGTTCCCCATGATGATGCTGAGGCAAAATGGGAAGATTCCAGAAAAGATGATTCTATACACAGACTACGTGGGCTCAAATCTTGATTCGTCACTTAGTAGCTATATAACCTTTAGCCGAACACATAACCTTACCAAGCTTAGTTTTTAACTTCTGTTAAAAGAAAAGAAAAGCAAAATGCTATTACCTTTCTCATTTGGTTGTTGTGAGGGTTAAGTTGCTTAATATATGGAAACCTCCTAGCACAATGCCAGACATAATAAATACCCAATAAATCTTAGCTATTCTTGTTGTTTTTGTTGATGATGTTACAGTTACTATCGGTACAGGCAGCTACTCAGAGTTTTATATCATCGTGTTCAAAATTTGAATTAGTTTTTACCTAGCATGCACTCTGAGCTCAGCCAGAATATGGAATGTATTTGTCTCGATATGTTTTAGCTCATTGGACATGGAATCTGGCAAGAGAATCACAGTATCAGAATTAGGCAAAACCACATAGATTAATTGATCAAGCCTTTTAGATTCAGTAAAGCAATGTTATCCAAAATCGTTTGAAGCCCTTAGCATAATTACAAGTTTGAATATTATTTAATATGTATAGTATCAGCCCTACATCAACATGCTTAATCTGCTTGCTTCAAACTTAACTGAAAAATATATAGACAGAAAGTGAAGAATAAAAAGAAGATGATGAGAGGAGATGGAAAGAAAAAAATAGAGGTGGCAAGATGGAGGAATGAGGTGAGAGAAAGGGAGGGATGGAAGAAGCTCAAAAGAAAGGAGAAAAAGAAAACTCCAAGAGGACAAAAATACTCAACATGACAAATGTGGTACAAACCAGTTTCCTTGAAATGGATATATTTTAGGCAGGGATTATATTTAAAATAGTTAACAACCCTAAGGTGCAGGAACTGACTGGTCAGATGGGCATTCTGTATACTCCCCAGTATGACTCTACCAGCTAACCAGGAGTTTTTATCTTAGGCCACACTCTAACTCAGATACATGTCTCACTGTGTAAATAGCCACAGTGAGAGCAATGCTCACTTTCTTAGAGAGTTAATTTTACTCAGTTTTTGAAATGGTGGATGAATCCATTACATGGCATTTAATGGAATTAAATGCCAAATTTATAATTATATCTAGCATAAAACTTGGGACTTCAAAAAGATACTGAGTTCACTTGTCCACTTAAGGCTATATGCCCAGTCTTTCTGGAGGATATGTTCTTTCTTCACAATTTAGGGAGAGGTTTGAGAAATATTTTAAGATGTCTGTGAAAGGAATTTATTAACCCCATAATGCTTGGATCTAACAAGGAAGAGTAGAAGCATTCATTCTCTCCTTCGTGCCTGTGTGATTGGTTGTATCCCATATCTCATTGAAAAACTTATATAAACCTTAATTCTTGGATGGGGGAGGTCTTGGCATGCTAGAAAAGAAAGTCACCACATGAGAAAAATGTGCTAGGAGAAAGGAGCACATAGAGGAATTTGTCATAGATTGGATTCTGTATAAAGCAGATACTGAGACAGAGATTAGTATGCAAGATGTCTAATAAGGAATGTCTTTGGGATTAACACCAGTGGAAGGGAAGAGAAAGAAGCTGAATTGGGTAGAGGGAAAAGTTGGTCTGTGAGTCTCAACAAAGGCTTCAGCCAATGCCATGAGGAGTTCTGAAGCTGGGATGATCCTTTAGAATGTTCTGAGTTTGGGCAAGGGTTCTGGGCTTTTGTACTGCTGCAGTAATTATTAAGGGGATATGGGCTGCCCCAGGAAGATGGGGATGTGACTTTAAGAAAGGTGGATCTCTTCAGTTGAGGCAATTCCAGTTGAGGACTGACAATTGAGTGCTACCTTGCCGCCTACACTCTTGTTAGTTGGAGGAATAAATCTTTCAGTTCTGAAGGAAGGATCTGAGTGAAGCATCGCAATACTCACTGTAGGACAGTTCTACGCACGTTGGGGCATTACCCAGCTGGGATTTTCAGCAGTCCACTTTCCAAGGGTTAAATTAAGTGTGGCTTGTATGCAGATGTACTGATTCTGGAGCTCTCAGATCTCTGCAGCCTCAATTGCAGAACTTATGGTCAAGAGACTAAATGTTCCTTTCTGTAAAATTCCGCATTCTCCTTCATCCAAGAAATAAGTATTGAGTGTGTAAAATGTGTCAAGCACTGCTCTAGCTACTTCTAGACACTTGGGATGCAGCAGTTGAGGAAGGCAAACATGGTTCTTTCCCTTCAGGTGTCTACAGATTTTAAGGGAATAAAATTTGTTCTTGAAATAGCTAATCCTAGTAATTTGGTAAATGTCAGCTATTCTTCTCGTGAGCTAAGCAGAAATAAAAACAGAGAGGTAGAAATGGGTCATTCCATGTGTATTTTTCAAGGATTTGAGAAGCTCCAATTTAAGATGTCATTGAAATGAGCGAAAAGACTGAATGGGTAACAGGCAGATTGGGTCAGTTGATTTGTTTTTCCTTCATGCATTTATTATATATATGACTTTGGAAAAATTACTTGATCTTTCTGTCCCTCAGTTTCTCCAATGCGTAGTGCATAGTAGGCATTTCTGCAATGTTAATCTTCATTTTGTCAAAATCCAAATTCGATAGTTGAAAGAAAATCATGTAAATATCTACTTTCAATCTTTTTATAACTAACATTTCTTTCTCTTTAAGCTGCCAATGCTGCCGCCACATAATTATTTGGTTTTTATCTCAGACTTGGTGGATTTTACTAAGACCCGAAAGATTTGTTCTCAAATTAGTATCTACATTAGCAGACATCTAGGGTGAGAAAGTAAAATCTAGTGTTAGCCTAGTTTCCCACCCTGGATGGGAATGCCCAGTTACCTCAGTAACAAAGCTAAATTGAAGCTTGGGAGCCTGAGACATGAACTTTAAAATTGAATAATTAAAATTCCATCACTTTCCTGTCAGATATATTAAGAAATGCCGTATATAACTTAAAGAAATCATAATCAAGCTGTATGCATACACAGGGCTGTTTGATCAATATTTTAGGCTTAATTAACCAGCCAATTTTTGTTTTTCTATATACATGGGTTGTTCTGAGTCACTGGCTTGGGAGTGCCAGTCAAAAAGTAGTCAAATCACAATCAAGCACTTGCTATTTTCCCCCAAGTATCGACTGGCTGTTTTGGAGACACAGCCTCAAAGGCATTTAATACAACTCAAAGGAAAATGAGAAGTGATAGCAACTGTCATTTACTGAGTTCTTCTCATGTGCCAGGCTCTTGACATGCATCTTTAATTAGCACTCACATCAATCCAGTAAGGAAGGACTTTATTAGTATTTAATGTTAGTAGATGAGAGAAGTGAGACTTAGTGAAATAACTTTCCTGAAGTCCCAACAACTACTGAGTGACAGACTCAGGATTGGAACCCAGGACTGCTTAACTCATAAACTCATGTTTTTCTTCTGTGCCAAGCTGTCTTTCACTTGAACCCATGACACCCCTTCATACCATATAATTCGTTATTGGTTTATAATATACACACTTGCAGCTGTGGGTGTGTTTTATCTCTCAATATGTTTGTCAGTTGATGGATGCATAAATGGGGTGAATTAAAGCAACAGCAATCTCCATCACTAACATTTAGTTGCTACCATGTGTCAGTCTAGTTTCTAACCTGAATACATACATTATTTAATCCTCACTACAACATTCCTCAGAAGGCACTTCTAGTCTTCCGTTTTACAAATGGAAAACCTAAGGCACAATGAAGCTAAAGAGTACTTGTTTTAAGGTAGGGATCAGCAAGCCTGCCTGTGGCCTGCTTTTGTACCTCCTGGGAGCTGAGAACGGTTTTAGCATAGTTAAAGAACAGAAAAATAACAAAACAAAAACAAAGAATATATGACAAAAAAGCTATGTACTCCACAAGACTAAAATATTTACTATTTTTTACTTTGGAGATGTCTTCCATTTCCTGGTATAGAGTCTAAGCCATGCAGAGAGTTAGTAATAAAAATAGAAGTATATTTCCTTTGTATCCCAACCGTGGCTGCTATTATAGTGTTTACGGTATAGTTTAATAATAATACTAACAACAACGATAATACCAGTAGCAATTATCTATTGAGTATTTACTTTGTGTTAGACATATAAGGATGGACTTCACATAACATATAGTTTCATTTACTAATCAGAATACCCTGAGGTGTTTTTCATTCATTGTTTGCCTTGTCTAGCTTTCATTTTTTCTTTTATTCTTGCCAAAAGTATCCCTAGTTTGTTCAGATATCTACCACCCCCCAACATGGTAGAACATGGGCAGCCCCATTGTTTCCTTAGGAGTTAGTCTTGGTGGACTAAGGCTCAAGGTAGTCTCAGTTTCCTTGCCAATCAATAATTATCAGGAGTGGAAATGTGACACAATTCTGGCCAGCAAGACAGAAGGAGGTTCTGCTGAGTAGGAGGTCTTCTGGTATAGGTTCACTTATTATTAAAAGAGACACTGTTAAGAGATGGTCTCTCTCCTTCCTTTGGATGTTGGCTTCTCTGGATAGGATGCCTTGATATCTGGCAGATGCATTGCTCTCAGTCTGAGAGATGCAAAGCCAACATAGAGAAGAGGACAGATAATTTCAAAGAAATAAAGCTAATCACTGGCATATCTTACTTGGAGGCTGCCCTACTTCAGGATTTCTTTCGGTTAAGCCAGGTTGAAAGTCAGGGCTTTCTCCAAACTCATCAAATTTTATACATTAAATATGTGTGGGTTTTTTTTTTTTTTTGTATATCAGTTATACTTTAATAAAACTTTTTTTTTTTTTTTTTTTTTTGAGACAGAGTCTCACTCTCTCGCCCAGGCCAGAGTGCAGTGGCGCTCTCGGCTCACTGCAACCTCCGCCTCCCGGGTTCAAGCGATTCTTCTGCCTCAGCCTCCTGACTAGCTGGGATTACAGGCGGGCACCACCACGCCTGGCTAATTTTTGTATTTTTTAGTAGAGACAGAGTTTCACCACGTTGGTCAGGCTGGTCTCAAACTCCTGACCTCGTGATCCCCCCCTCTTGGCCTCCCAAAGTGCTGGGATTACAGGTGTGAATCACCACGCCTGGCCGATAAAACTTTCTTTAAAAAAAAAAAGTCAGGGTTTTCTGACACAATTGATCTCTGTAGTTAATATTATCCCTCACTTTAGAGTTGGTTAAATTGAGCACAGCTTAATCTGGAAGAGCTGGAATGTGAATCCAAATGTTTTCTACCCTAAAGCCTGTAATTTTGTTTTCCAATTATATGTTCTGGCTTAATAATAATATATGATAATTTTGACGTACAAAATGATAAATTCTATACAGTTGAGTGATAGGAAAATTTATGATGTTTGTACCTACCCAGTTGTCATTTAGATATTATAATACATTTCTCTGCTAGGCAAGTATGAGATTACAAAACACTCATGGTGTTTCATATACAAACACATCACTGAAGAGGATACCAGATTGTGTGTATTCCATGAATACATATGAATAATTCAAAAGGATTTAAAGATCAATCTGTCCTCAGACTGTGACAGAACTCCCATTAATGAGCAGTGGCTCACAGGGCTGGGTTGGCTCAATGTAGTTAACCCCATCCTTTTGCAACTGAGGGCTGATTGATTCGTATTCTCAAGTTGAATATCATGTGATTCTATTTCACCATTAGAATGATGTTGCCCTATACAGAAAGAAAATGACATTGCAAAGATTCTCAAATTGTGTGTCTTTTGGAAGCATTATCTGATATAATGCTGAAATCATAATTGAGAATTCCATTTTTAAATATTCTGTCTTATAAACCTAAAAACATCAATAATACTCAAGATTTATGATTGCCAACAAAAAGTGGAGAATACACATAAATTTAAGTATATGTAACTTAAATTGTTTAAGTTCCTATATCATATCTATTTGATTTGAAAATCATAACTAAACATTCTTGTTGCAATTTGTATCATATATTCTTTTCATACACACAAATACATATGCATATATAACTATATAAACACTTTCCTTGTTTTTTCCTAAGCCGTTCATATTTGGAAACCTAAAAGTCAAATATATGACATGTAAAAGAGCATTCCAATATTTATTCATTATTCCAATCTAGATATTTAAAAAAACAGAGATTTGCTGGATTTTAAAACTTTTTTTTAATAATGAGTTTTGTCAGACTGTTGTGCTTTGCTTTGCTAATTTCCATTTGTATGAATTTATAATGTCTTTAAAATTTAATTTGTATCAAATTATGGTTTTTAAAATTTTAACATGGGGAAAGATTACTCTATAATTTCTTCCAAGACAATAAATTTATATACATGATTTTCCACCACAAGTGAATCATAATTGTCTCTTTTTTTAGATGTATCATTTAATTTTTTTTTTTTTTTTTGGTTTGAAAACATTAATTCCTGGGTAGTGATGATATGAACTGCTAACCAAAGACATGCTGTTTGGCTTCCAGAAGTATGAAAAACAGATAGCTTTGGCACACTATAATGCAGAAGAAAAGAGAAGAAGGCTGGGAGCGGTAGCTCATGCCTGTAATCCTAGCACTTTGGGAGTCTGAGGCAGGCGGATCACTTGAGGTCAGGAGTTCAAGACCAGACTGGACAACATGGTGAAACTCTGTCTCTACTAAAAATACAAAAATTAGCCAGGCGTGGTGGTAGGCACCTGTAATTCCAGCTACTTGGGAGGCTGGGGCAGGAGAATCGCTTGAACCTGGGAGGTGGAGGTTGCAGTGAGCTGAGATCGAGTTACTGCACTCCGGCCTGGGTGACAGAGTGAGACTCTGTCTCAAGAAGAAGAAGGAGAAGGAGGAGAGGGAGGAGAAGGAGGAGAAGGAGGAGAAGGAGGAGGAGGAGGAGGAGAAGGAGAAGAAGGAGAAAAAAAGACAGGAGTGGGAGAAATCTGTAAATGTTTACCATGATTGAATGATCTTTTGAAAACCATCGCTTCTTTTTGCCTCAGCTAGCAGCCAGTATGTTCAGAGACCAAGAAAGATTGGAAGTGCACAGTGCTCTACAAAAGGCAATATTTAAAACCAGCCCAGAATCTTACTTCACCATCCTTTTTTAATATTTATTTTTTCCAGTTTCATATTAATGCCAAGCCAATGGTGTTTGATGTGATGCTTCAAATGATGCAGATTGTTTAATGGAAAGTTATCTATTGAAAGAACCTAAAAGGGTAGAAAAGGCGAGAGTTTGGTTTTTGAGACTGTTATTCCCATGTCATACTTAAAGAATGAAGGCACATGAGCACAGAGTACTTCTAGGAATAGAATCAAAGGTACAGATAAATTTAACAATTTTTTTTCTATGAAACTGCCAGGAACATTTTTCTTTCATTCATAGGACTTTACTGAGAGCTTTAAGGGTCAGATGATAAGTTTATTAATTAGATAGCATTCTAGGACAATGACTCCAATTCTGGTTTCCTGTTAATGTCCACAGATGTATATAAGCATAATGAACTACCTTCATTTAGCTGAGAACACATTACAGTCTCCCTTGGGTGCCTTTTCTGTGAGGTCCCATAGCACCTTGTTCTTCCCACTGAGAAAGTTTCCTCAGCTACACTGTATGTACTATTCCATTATCTTGCTCAGTACCCTGCTGCAACATTTCCGGCATGGAGAAGACATCCAATTAATTGACAATGGAATGAACATATCTCCAGTCATCCTATAGTCTGTCATGAACTTTATCAAAAGCAAATTAATGAGTAGGCCAGAGGCTTCTGAAATTGAATAAATATAAAAGTGTTATTACACAAAGGAGGAAATGTTGGAAATCACTTCAAGAAGACTAGCCCTTCAGAGTAAAGAATTCATTTTATTCTCTTTAATTTCTTAGAAATTATTCATTCATTACTTTAAGTAACTTATAGCCCAGCAGGGATGAGAGATATTGAAGAAGCATTTGCAATACAGTGTGATGGATGTAATGACAGGGGACTTCGTTTGGGTTGACTGTAGAAGTATGACACAGGGGGACTTTACCTAGACCAGGAGGTCAGGACAGCTTCTGTCTTAGTTGGTTTGGGCTGCTATAATAAACAAGTTCAACCATGTGGAAGTCGGTGTGGCGATTCCTCAGGAATCTAGAACTAGAAATACCATTTGACCTAGCCATCCCATTACTGGGTATATACCCAAAGGATTATAAATCATGCTGCTATAAAGACACATGCACACGTATGTTTATTGCAGCACTATTCACAATAGCAAAGACTTGGAACCAAGCCAAATGTCCAACAATGATAGACCGGATTAAGAAAATGTGGCACATGTACACCATGGAATACTATGCAGCCATAATAAATGATGAGTTCATGTCCTTTGTAGGGACACGGATGAAGCTGGAAACCATCATTCTCAGCAAACTATCACAAGGACAAAAAACCAAACACCGCATGTTCTCACTCATAGGTGGGAATTGAACAATGAGAACACATGGACACAGGAAGGGGAACATCACACACCGGGGCCTGTTGTGGGGTGGGGGGAGCGGGGAGGGATAGCATTAGGAGATATACCTAATGCTAAATGACGAGTTAATGGGTGCAGCACACCAACATGGCACATGTATACATATTTAACAAACCTGCACGTTGTGCACATGTACCCTAAAACTTAAAGTATAATAATAATAAAATAAAAAAAAAGAAAGGAACCTACACTGGCTAGTTTATAAACAACAGACATTTATTTCTCATAGTCCTGGAAGCTGGGATGTCCAAGATCTAGGTACGAGCAGATTCAGGTCATTTTACATGCATGCATGCAAGTGCACGGGTTTCTCATTTTTTCACCGAGTGGCATGAATGCATATTTCACATTTTTCAGACTCATTCTTCTGAGAATAGATTTTCAAATGTTGGAAACTTTTTACATCACATTTAAGCTCCTTTCAATACAAAATTGAGATCCAGTGTTATAGAAAAGAAGACAACTAAAATCTTTTGAATTGCTCAGGAAACTCATTGAAAATGACATATCAAATTATTCTTTAGGCAGAAAAGACCTGGAGGTTTTAAATCTACCACCACACCTTGAGGAGCAGTTTAGGAGGAGCCACTATTTTGGAGCACTGTTCTTTTTGAACTAAAAGCGGCTTATGGATACTGTTCAAAGACACCTTATCTTATAGAAAACTGAAGTCAATAATCCAGAACACATTGTCTAAATGGTTGAGTAAGCCAGGGAATACAGAAACTGATGTCAAGAAACATGGATAAATGCATTGGAAAATGTAGCACATTTAAGAACTTAATATACATAGGGTATTATTACTACTATTATTTCAGTTTCTTAAATAAACTATTGTCCACCTCAGGGCGAACATTTTATCTGGCTAGCTCCTACTTTTCATTGATATGTCAGCTTAAATACTTCTTACTCTAGAGAAACGTCTCTGACTCCCAGCTAAGTTAGCCAATGCTCCTTATACATGTTATTTTTCCTGGGATTTATCATAATTTTAATTTATTTTTGTTAATATGATTAATACTTTTTTACTAAATTGTAAAGTTTAGTAGTGTAGAAATTATGAATGCCTGGTTTACTGTTATATGCTCAACATCTAGTACAGTGCTTGGCATGAGTAAGCACTCAATAAATCTTCCAAGAATGAATAGATGTATGAATATATAAAGGAACCAGTGATTTCATGAACAAGCAAGAAGGTGGTTTCCTAGCAAATTTCTGGGATCGGCAGTGTTATGGCCTGCCCATCTCCTTTATGTCCTTGCTACCTGAGAGATCCTGCTACATTTAACGATCCATGAATGGGGGTTCAGGGTTTCTTTTGAAAGTGAAGAAAAATTTCTGGAAATAGATAATAGTAAGTTGTACATGAGTGGTAATGTACAACTCTGTAAATATACTGAAAACCACTGACTTGTGCACTTTGGTGAATTTTATGCTATGTGAACTATATTTCATCATTATTTTTTTAAATCCATTAACTCATCATTGTGAGTGTCCATTCACTTTAGTAGTGTAGGTGTTGTCTGACTTGACATGCTTCCATAGTCACCCAGAAGACAGTTACATGGTTTCAACAATTACATTAAAAGGTAACATGGTGTCTATTTTACTAAAAATTGGAGAATTTACTTTTAGTCGTATGATACCATGACTCTAGGGTTTACACCACTCAGCACAGGCCTTGCAAAATCTCTGCAATTGTGTGATATTTCTCAGAACCCCAATGCATCCATCTGTAAGCTCCCACAGTATGAAGGGCATATGAAGAAAAGGATGTCATAAACGATTCTAGTGTCAATTTACTGCCTGCTTCACTTCCACTCTCTCCCCTCTTATACTGGACACTGATTCTGCAAAGAAGAAAATCATTGGCGAACTGAAATTTCTGGTCCAGATCCTTATTTCCTGCCCTCAGGAGGATTTGCTACTATGACTTTTTCTTCTGCCTAACCTTCTTTCTCACTGCCATTCAGCCTGATTGCCGAAAGGCTTTCAAGGTAAAAACCATTTGAAACAGACAAGCTCACCCAGAGGCTTTGCTTGGCTATTGGGAGGAACAGTCTTGATTTTACTCCTACTCTTTGCTCAAGTACCTCAGTATGAGCCAGCAGCCTCAAAGCCACATATTAGGACCTGGGGAGAAAAGCACAGAACACAGAGCAGCTGTTATAAAGAATGTCCCAGTGGTCTTTTGGAAAGCAAGAGGTATTTTAGCCCCAATAAACAACTAAACCTGAAGATCATAGCAGAAAACTTCACCAGACTGTAAACCTCTATGGAGTAGGGAATTGTCTTAATTTATTCTAGGTGCCAATTACTAACATTTTCTCCTATATTTATATATTTATTAATTAGTGGCTCCTTTCACTCTCAAAAGTGTCCTTGTGTATATGAGGATTTATATGATCACCTTTGCTAAGAACCACGCCTGACATATGATAACACATAAGTGAGAGCTATTATTATTATTCAAAGTGATGCCTTGTTTTCTTATTGACTGTTACCTTTCAGCCACTTCAAACTGTTAACACTGTTAAAAGAAAAAGTATAATTCAGATTATCACCAGCATTTAGATAAATCATTTATCCTTTTTACTTTTTCAGATGCACAAGGAGACAACAAAGTCGTGGTTAAAAGACAGATAGAACCATAGCAGAATTGTCTCAAGCTTATGTGACGTCTTAAACTATTTCCTCTCTCCCCGAATACTCTTAAGTGATTTGTAAATTATTTTCTTTCTTTGTAGCATATGGCAATCCTAATTTGTAATGCCATTTAGTAATATTGGGGAAATTTAACATTAATTTACAAGAAGTTTCTTCAAGAAATACAACACGTGTAGTTCATTATCACAGTTTTGTTTCATTGCCTTTTTAAAAAATCGTAAGTAAGCAAGAAAGAAGAATAACAGTACTGATTCTTTCTTTTCCGTTACTGATGGCTTCTAGTGGGTAGCTCTAAAAATCTCTGTAAAATGGAAGTCATACTGTGTCATACCCCGCTTTAAAACAAATGGCTGTCAATATGTTTCAGAATAAAGGCTGCACTCCTCCTAAGCTGGCACTCAGCAACAAGGTCATGTTCATTTTGAGACCAAGATCATGAAGCGCAACCACATGAAGCCACGTGAGTTTGAGTCCAGCTTTTCTGGAGCTGGAGATGAACTCGGACCTCAAGCCTCAGCTCAGGGAACTGAATATAACAACAACCAAGGAAATTGAAATTGTTGATAGTTGGAAAGTTATTATAATCTTTGTTCCCATTCCTAAACTGAAATCTTTCCAGAAAATCCAAGTCTGGCTATTACATGAATTGAGAAGAAGTTCAGTGGGAAACATGTTGTCTTTGTTGCTCAGAGGAGAATTCTGTCTAAGCCAACTCGAAAAAGCCACACAAAAAATAAGCAAAAGCTCCCAGGATCTTCTCTCTGCCAGTGGTGCAGAGCAAGGAGGACCATGTTGCCAGGCTATGGATTGCAGCCTATGTCTTTTTGTAAAATTTCTTTTAACTGTGAATATACATTTTTTAATCATTTTTGTTTGCAACTATGGGAATTCAAAATGAACATCCTTGCTCATGAGCTTCTTACAGACATCAGAAAAAGTTTTCACCTTGAGGTCCACATGTTCTGCTATGGTTTGTCCAAAGGAACCTTTATGCGTTGGCCATTCAGTGTCAGGAAGATTCCGTTGCCCACAATTTCGATTATGTTATTTTATATAATTTTGTGTCTTTTAAAGTACTTGAGAGAATAAACATTATTGTTATATTAGCCTTCTTATTTATGTTTCTGGTTCTCTTCATTTCTAGCTGTGGATTTAAGTTACTATCTCATACAATTTTCATCTTATAATGAAGATCTGTTCCCACACACTGCCTTCATGTCATTACTGTCAAATATATTACATTTTTTTACATTGTAGACTCATCAATACCATTAAATTTATAGTGTTTTATTCAACTGCTTTTTCAATCAATTAAGCAAAGAAAAGAAATACGCAATTTTATGCCACTTATAATTGGCTCAATAATTATCTTTAGAAAAACTCTGTTTTTTGCATGTTAATTTGAATTTCCACTTGGATCCACTTGCTTTCTTATAAAGAACGTCCTGTAATCTTATTATTTTTTGTAAGTAGTGTGTGCTAGCAACAAACTCTCATGATTTTTGTTTATCAGGGGATAGTTTTTATTTTGCCTTCATTTGTTAGAGGTGGTTATTCTGCATATAAGAGTTTCAGTTGATTCTTTCTTTCAGCACTTTGAATATGTCACCCCAATGCTTTCTGCCTTTTTCTTGTCAACTTGGCATGCATATTCATTTTTATAAATAATACTAATTTCCAAATAAAGACAATAACAAGGTAATAGTTCACGTGACACAATGGAACTATTCTGTGATTGTTACTTTGGGGATTTTTAGACATTAGGGTGTTTATACTTTAGGGACTTAGACATTAGAGATTTTGATCTTTCAGGATTTCAACATTCGGGATTATGATGTTTAGGATTTTGCTTTTCAAGATTATGATTGGCTACCACTAAATCCATTATCTAAAATATCCACAATTCTAAAAAAATTACAATACAACAGGAAAATGTGAGCCATAACCAGAAAAAAATGCAAACAATAAAAGCTGCCTCTGATTGGACACAGATTTCAGACAACATATTTCCCACTGAACTTTTTTTTCTCCAGTTCATGTAATAGCCAGACTTGGATTTTCTGGAAATAAATTTATCATAAATTTATTGGAGGAGCTAGTATAAGAAAGTATCAGTGAATTCAAAGAATATCAATACAGATTGTTCATTCTAAAGAGCAGCAAAATGAATGAACAGAAGTAAAAAGCACATCCGATAAATGTGGGACGTCATTAACTTATCAATGTACATGTAATGGAGTACCAGAAGAGGACAGGGACAAAAGAGCAGAAGTAATAATGGGTGTTATTATCTTTTGAAATTTCAATGCTTGGGATTGTGTGTTTTAGGATTATGATCAGCTCCTTATCAGCATCTTCCCATCTCTCCTCTTTCCTAACCACTCAAATTCTCTGGTAACTATCATTCTACTCTCTACTTCTCTACTTTATTAGATTTCACATGTGAGTAAGATCATGTGGTATTTGTCTTTCTGTGCCTGACTCAATTCACTTAACATAATGTCCTCCAGGTTCATCTGTATTATCATTTGTTTTTTAAGTAACTTTCCTGAACTTAATCTGTGGTATTTTTCTTCCCTGCTCTGTGTGGTCACTGATGTTTATATTCAGTTTTTATTTTATGTCATTTTAGTGTAGTTTAGTTTGAATATGTTTGGATTAGTTTAGCATATTTGCCTGATTACCTATCGGTAACCTTTATTTCTACATGGCTTAGTGGTTTGGCAACAGTTGGTCAGAATTTTTTATATATATATATATATATATATATATATATTTATTATACTTTAAGTTTTAGGGTACATATGCACAACATGCAGGTTTGTTACATATGTATACATGTGCCATGTTGGTGTGCTGCACCCATTAACTCGTCATTTACATTAGGTATATCTCCTAATGCTATCCCTCTCCCCTCCCCCAACCCCACAACAGGCCCCGGTGTGTGATGTTCCCCTTCCTGTGTCCAAGTGTTCTCACTGTTCAATTCCCACCTATGAGTGAGAACATGCGGTGTTTGGTTTTTTGTCCTTGCGATAGTTTGCTGAGAATGATAGTTTCCAGCTTCATCCATGTCCCTACAAAGGACATGAACCCATCATTTTTTATGGCTGCATAGTATTCCATGGTGTATATGTGCCACATTTTCTTAATCCGGTCTATCATTGTTGGACATTTGGGTTGGTTCCAAGTCTTTTATCAAACACCTTGAGTCAGTTAGTCTTCCATCTTTTGACAGTGGATTTGTGTGTGGTTCAAGGGAGGCATTTCAAAGTTCCCAAACTTCTCACATTATTTTCTTCTTTTACTTTCCTCTGGGTCCTCTTAGTTTTCTCTTGCATATTTGCAGTGTCTCAGTCAGGTTAGTAATATGGGGAGGCTTTGTGTTCTCTCAAGTTTCTCCTATTCGTACGTCCAGGCTCTCATTCAATCATGCTTCTTTAAACAAATTGGGTTTTCTTGTGCCTCTCTTGTGTATTTGGGTGAGTTGGCCAGGCATGCGTGGAGTGCTTAGCTAACCTTTCTATGATTTGCCCATTTCCAGAATCTCCCAGTTACATTTCTGGCTGTTTTTCTAATCAGTTGTCACACCCAGCTGAGACCACAGCCTCCAGTTAGCAAAGCTGCAGATCTTCCCTGTTTACCAATGGGTATGAGTTTCCCACCCTTTGCTGTCAATCAAGTCAGCCCAGATTAGCAATAAAGTTTCTGTTTCTTACAGCCAACACTGTCCTGGTGTCTCTACTGTTCTGATTAAACTCATGAGGGATAGATATAGCCTCAGGCCACAACACTATAGACTCCTACAGTTTTTACTTGATTTTTAGGAGTAAACTATTTTCATTGTGTTGTTTGCCTTAGATCAATTTCCACAACCCTTAAATGGTTATTATCAAATACTTGTCCAATTTTGTACTATTTTAGGGAATAGAGTTTTTCACCTTGTTCATTCCTTCAAAGCCGTGAGCACCATCCCTCCATGAGTTTATGAATACATAATTGAGGTCATATTCTTAATAAGATTTTATATCCACATATGTTCAATAAACTTAGAATTATTCATGTCATTGTAAATGCATTGAAACACGGTTTTTAAAAGTCACATGGAAATCCTTTGTACTAAGTCATCATAATTTAACCATCTACTATTGGCAATTTAGGTTAAATTTTTTGCCTCTATGAACTGTGATGGATATTTTTGCATATAAATTCTTTCCTAAGCCATTCCTGTCACTAGAAGTATTGTGTCAAAAATATAATTTTTAAAGGTTAAAAATACATATTGCGACAGTCTTTAAAAAAAAAAAAGACCACAAGGATTAACTCCTCTAGCACCGTAGTGCTGTTTATTATACCCTTACCATTATTGAGAATTAACATTAAAAATATATGCACTTTGATAATAAGATAATATAAAAGCTCTGGCAAATTTTGAGTTGCTTTTCTAAGTGTCTTTATTCAGCTCAACTCTGTAATTCTTTATTTAGGATTAATAGATATAGATATTTTCCCCTTTTTTGGCTGTTTCATTCATTATCTTTTCTTGCAGTAGAGCAGCATATCATTTCCCATCATTGCGTGCAACATCTACCCCTTTTATCTTTCTAATGGAGCTATTTTTAGAAACAGCATTTTCATTATCAGTTCTCCATGACTGTAAATTGATTCATCCAATTCCTATGTCTTAAATTTTAATTAGATCACAGAAATATCTTCTGGCTTTAAGGAGTACAAACTCCAAGTTCCTTTGCAAAGTAGCTGTCTAGGTTTTACAAAATGTTTGAAGGGAAAGGATGGATAATACATTGCATTTTAAAACATTTTGCTTTTATTATACTACTTTTTGAACAGAGACTAAAATACATTTGATTTAATCTACTGTAGATATACATTGGGTGAACTCGGTGATTACCTTTTTTGAGACTATCTGAACGTTTTCTTTTAAAGCTTTTTTCCAAAAGATATTTATCTTTGCTAATTCTTTTTTAACTATGATGGATTGAATCTAGAAAGATAATTAGTCTAGACTATGCCACAGCACCTTATGTAAACTTTTAGCAATAGCCATGACATTGTTCATGCAGAAATGTCTAGTAATATTTATTAAACATTTTGAAGACAGTTTCTTCCTAAACTAATCTTCTACCTGAGGTATCTGCTTATGTCCCAGTAGAATCATTCACCTCACAATAGCCAGAGTAATCTTTAAAATCATCAGATTATATGATTCCCCTTTGAAAAATCATTTAGTATGTGGTAAGTTTATGACAATTTCTCCCATCCCATTATGTATGTCCTTTTGTAATGGCTTTGTCACTCCTCATTTGAAGAGTTAAGGTCTGTTTCCTTACCCCTTCAATCTGAGATAACTGTGTGCCTTGCTTTGTGCTAAAGAATGTGATGTATTTTTCTAGTTCTCTGAAGAATGATGACGGTATTTTGAAGGAAATTGCACTGAATCTGTTGACTGCTTTTGGCAGTATGGTCATTTTCACAATAATGATACTACCCATCCATAAGCATGGAATGTGTTTCCACTTGTTTGGGTCATCTGTGATTTCTTCCAGCAGTGTTTTGTAGTTTTTTATTGTAGAAATATTTCACCTCTTTGGTTAGGTATATTCCTAAGTATTTGATTTATTGTTTTGCAACTGTTGTAAAAGGAATTGAGTTCTTGATTTGATTCTCAGCTTGGTCGCTGTTGGTGTATAGTAGTGCTACTGATTTGTGTACATTGATTTTGTATCTGGAGACTTTACTAAGTCTAGGAGCTTTTTAGATGAGCCTTTAGGGTTTTCTAGGTATACAATCATATCATCAGCAAACAGTGACAGTTTGACTCCCTCTTTAGTGATTTGCATGTACTTTATTTCTTTCTCTTGTCTGATTGCTCTGGCTAGACTTCCAGTACTAAGATAAATAGAAGTGGTCAGAGTGGGCATCCTTGTCTTGTTCCAGTTCTCAGAGGGAATGCCTTCAAATTTTCCCCATTCAGTATTATGTTGGCTGTGGGTTTGTCATAGATAGCTTTTATTACATTAAGGTATGTCCCTTGTATGCTGATTTTGCTGAGGGTTTTAACCATAAAGGGATGCTGGATTTTCTCAAATGCTTTTTTCTATGTCTATTGAGATGCTTATGTGATTTTTGTTTTTAATTCTGTTTATGTGATGTATCACATTTATTAACTTGCGTATGTTAAACCATCCCTGCATCCACAGTATGAAACCCACTTGATCATGATGTATTATCTTTTTGATATGCAATTGTATTCAGTTAGCTAGCACTTTGTTGAGAATTTTTGAATCTATATTCATCAGGAATATTGGCCTGTAGTTTTCTTTTTTGTTATGCTTTTTTCTTTATTTTGGTATTAGCGTGATAGTGGCTTCTAGGGAGGATTCCCCATTTCTCCATATTTTGGAATAGTTTCAGCAGAATTGGTACCAATTCTTCTTTGACTGTCTGATAGAATTTATCTGTGAACCTATCTGGTCTTGGACTTTTTTGTTGGCATTTCTTTTATTACTGTTTCAGTCTCACCACTTGTTATTGGTCTGTTTAGAGAAATAAAGCCAACTACTTACATCTAACTGATCTTCAACAAAGCAAACAAAAACATTGAGTGGGGAAAGGACACCCTATTCAACAAATGGTGCTTGGATAATTGGCAAGCCACATGCAGAAGAATGAAGCTGAATCCTCATCTTTCACCTTATACAAAAATCAACTGAAGATAGACCAAAGACTAAAATCTAAGACCTGAAACCATAAAAACTCTAGAAGAAAACATCAGAAAAACTCTTCTAGACAGTGGCTTAGGCAAAGAGTTCATGACCAAGAACCCAAAAGCAAATGCAACAAAACCAAAAATAAATAGATGGGACATAATTAAAGTAGAATGCTTCTGCACAGCAAAAGAAATAATCAGTGGAGTAAACAGACAACCCACAAAGTGGGAGAAAATATTCACAAACTATGCATCCAACAGGAGGCAAATATCCAGACTTGTCAAGGAACTCAAACAAATCAGCAAGAAAAAAAAAAAAAACAAATAACCCAATCAAAAAGTGGGCAAATAACTTGAATAAACAATTCTCAAAAGAAGATACACAAATGGCCAACAAACGTGAAAAAATGCTCAACATCACTAATTATCAGGGAAATGCACATTAAAACCACAATGAGATACCATCTTACTCCTGCAAGAATGGCCCTAATAAAAAAAAATGATAGATGTTGGCATGGATGTCGTAAAAAGAGAACACTTTTACACTGCTGGTGGGAATGTAAACTAGCAC
This sequence comes from Homo sapiens, assembly GCF_000001405.40. NCBI lineage: Eukaryota > Metazoa > Chordata > Mammalia > Primates > Hominidae > Homo > Homo sapiens. The sequence continues at coordinate 98,358 of NW_025791819.1, forward strand.
AAGCACTATGGAAAACAGTATGGAGGCTCCTTAAAGAACTAAAAGTAGAACTACCATTTGATCCAGCGATCCCATTGCTGGGTATCTCCTCAAAGGAAAAAGAGTCATTATATGAAAAAGACACTTGCACACGGATGTTTAAAGCAGCATAATTTGCAATTGCAAAAATATGGAACCAGCCTAAATGCCCATCAATCGACATGTGGATAAAGAAAATGTGGTATATATACACCATGGAATACTACTTAGAAATAATAAAAAAAAAACCAATATAATGGCATTCACAGCAACCTGGATGGATTTGGAGACCATTATTCTAAGTGAAGCAACTCAGGAATGGAAAACCGACGTCGTATGTTCTCACTTAGTGGGAGCTAAGCTATGAGGACATAAAAGCATAAAAATTATATAATGGAGTTTGGGGACTTGAGGGGAAGGGTGGGAAGGGGATGAGAGATAAAATTCTACACATTGTGGACAGTGTACACTGCTCTAGCGACAGGTACACCAAAATCTCAGAAGTCATCACTAAATAACTCATCCATGTAACCAGAAATCACCTGTTCTCCCAAAATTTTTGAAATAAAATAAATCTCATGTACCACATAAATATATACATGTATGTACCTACAAAAACTAAAAATAAAACATTATAAAAGAAACAAAAAATGTGATGGAAATGTTATACAAGTGCAAGAGCTTTGTTTTAAAGTTGCATTGCAGCCTCTGTTTACAATCTCTTGGAATGTTGTATCAAGTTTGTCACATAAGGTAGCTAGTCTAACGTATTGAGGAATTAGAGGCCCTGTTGAGTGTAGCAGAGCCTCCAGAGCCAACAACCATCAGAAACTGCTGGACATGCAAGTGAGAGAGACATCTTGGACCCTGTAGCCCATCAGCTCCTCCAGCTGAATACTTCTACATAAATTAGCTCTGAAAAAACCAGCAGAGGAACTGACCAGCTAACTCACAGAATCTCTCTCTCTCCATATATATATATATATATAAAATCAATATATATATTGATTACAGAATCATCTATATATATAGAATCTACATATATAATCTATAATCTATAATACATATATTATAATATATTATATATAACATATATATAGAATATATATATATATATATAGTAATTTTAAGACAATAAGTTTGGGGGTGGGTTTTGCTGCAGCACTAGCTAAATGATACAAGTAACTTTCCATCCTACTGTGTATTTTACTCTAATTTTTCTTTTACCTTTGCCCACAAGTCCCTTGGTTATCTATAATTTTCTCCCACGATATCTTTTAATATGATTCTTCCTATTTTTTTAATATGATTTTTATATGATTCTTCCTATTTTTTAAATATGATTCTTCCTATTCTTTGTTGCAATATCTTTTTTTATCGATTTTAGATTGCTTTTTTTATTATTATTATACTTTAAGTTTTAGGGTACATGTGCACAATGTGCAGATTTGTTACATATGTATACATGTGCCATGCTGGTGTGCTGCGCCCATTAACTCGTCATTTAGCATTAGGTATATCTCTTGATGCTCTCCCTCCCCCCTCCCCCCACCCCGCAACAGTCCGCAGAGTGTGATGTTCCCTTGCAATATCTTAAAAGCTAAAAATTCTCCTTGATTCCCACTCTTTATCCCCCTATGTTAGTATGTCATATTCTCTTGCCACTGATTCTGTTATGGCCAGAGACCAGAACATGAGCTATTATCTCACAAATAAAAATAAGCCACAGTGTTCAGCTGGCCTGTCCTCCAATAATTCCCACTGGCAGTGAAACTCAAGGCACACCCCTTCTGATAGTTCATCAGCATAGGTAATTTAAAGTTTACCAAGATTCTGAGGATGTGGGCCAAGGGAAACAGCAGTACACTGTTGATGGGAATGTAAATTAGTATAGCAAATTAGAAAACAGTGTGAAGCTTCCTCAAAAATGTAAAAGAGATCTACCATATGATCCTGTAATCCTACTACTGGTTGTATGTCCAAAATAAAAGAAATCAGTATATTAAAGATAGATCTGCACTCTCATGTTTACTGTAGACATATTCACAATAGCCAAGATGCAAAAGCAACTTTTCATTTCTAACAACATGAATGAAGCTGGAGATCATTATATTAGGTAAAATAACCCAGGCACAGGAAGACAAACGTTGCATGTTGTCACTTACTTGTGGGACCCAAACATCAAAACAAATGATCTCATGGGGATAGAGGGTAGAAGGATGGCTACCAGAGGCTGGTAAGGGTAGCGGGGGTGGGGGTAAGTGGGGATAGTTAATGAGTACAAAAATTGTGAGAAAGAATAAATAAGACTTGGTATTTGATAGCACCACAAGGTGACTATAGTCAAAAATAATTTAATTGTGCATTTAAAATAAAAATAGGCTGAATACAGTGGCTCATGACTGTAATCACAGCAGTTAGGGAGACCAAGGCAAGTGGATTGCTTGAGGTCAGAAGTTTGAGACTAGCCTTTGCAACATTAAGAAACCCCCATCTCTACAAAAAATACAAAAATTAGGCAGGCATGGTGTTGACTACCTGTAGTCCCAGGTACTCGGGAGGCTGAGGCAGGAGGATCGCTTGAGCCTGGGAGGTTGAGGCTGCAATGAGCGAAGATTGCACCACTGCACTCCAGTCTGGGCAACAAAGTGAGATCTTGTCTCAAAATAAATAAATAGTAAATAAAAATAAATAAAATAACTAAAAAATATAATTGGATTGTTTGTAACACAAAAGATAAATGCTTGAGGTGATGGGCACCCTGTTTAACCTGAAATTATTATTACTCATTGCATGCCTATATCAAAACATTTCATGTAACCCATAAATATATACACCTACAATGTACCCACACAAAAGACTGGGAAATAGAAAAAAAAAAAAAAAGAAAAACATTACTATTGAGAATCTCTTATTAAGAACTCATACAATTAAGTATCTCCCATTGAGTTATTGCCTAATACTCCTGTCTCTAATCGACACTGCTTATCATATAGTCTCTCAGTGGAGGCAGAAGTAAAATCAGCTGTTCACTGGAGAACTGGCAGCATCGTGGGAGGAGGTAGGCCTTGATACTTAGGTACAAGGAAGAGCATCAGAAACACCTTGTGTGGAGTTTCTAAGCATAGAATCTTGGCTTAGCAGAGAGCCACAGACTGAGAAATTGTAGAGAAGCAAATAAGACAATGAGCATAAAGATTTGTACAATGTTAAAATATTAATAAAAATATGAAAGACAGCAATACATAACTATACATATGCATATGAAGAAAAGAAACACTGGAATGAGAAATAATATTAAGTAACACCTTCTATATCCCAAACACTGTACTTGGTAGGTGATGGATATTATTTTGTTTTAAACATTCAGAAAACCTGGGAAGTTGATTCAGTTGTTCTATTTTACATAGAAATAAATCAAAGATGACAGAAATGAAGCACCTTATGCAAGGCTTAAAGATAACTAAACTCTTTAAGGCAGTATTCAAAATCAGGTATCTCTAACTCCATTTTTTTTTCCATTCTGTTACATTGTGCTGCTTTGTTATTTCAAGGCCAAAAGAGGCAAAACAAAGATTTAAATGGACTTATAGTCAAGATTAATATGTGAGCATATAAATTTGTCTCTTGTCATCCCTATTCCCATTGAAATAACAAAAGAAATATTAAAATATGATAAAACATATTTAACTTATTCAAGGAGTATGTGGATGTTTATGGTTCTATCTGATGTAGGAAACTTTTAATTTTTTACCAACTTGGATTAAATCAGAAAATTACATTCATCCTTTAAAAAGAATGATATTTATCATAAGGAATGCATTTATTAGATAGAATATCTGGAGCCAAACTGCCTGGGTTAAAATCCTATCTCCTCCAATTATAAATTATATAGTCTTTTTTCAAGTTATTTAAACTCTCCTTATCTTGTTTTCCACATATGTAAATTGAGGTTGTTATGAGACCCAAATGAATTAATATTTGTGAAGATGTCAGAATGGTTTCTGATGTATGATAAATGTAAATTAATAGTTGCTAAATAAAAATAATTTGAGTAATTGTTGTTTTTTTGTCATAGACTTCTGTGAAGAAGGCAACATTAACACCAGAATCTAATTATTGCTCTTTTGAATTCTTATCTACATGACTGTGAAAGGCTAAATAATGGCTCACAAAGATATGTAGGTCTTCATTCCTGGAATCTGTGAATGTTATTTATATGGGAAAACAGAAGTTTATATATGTAATTAGGTTAAATATTTTGAGATGGGGAGATTACCTGAATTATCTGGGTGAGCCCTAAATGTAAACACAAGTGTCCTCAGAAGAAGGAGGCAGATAGAGATTTGAAGACTGAAGAATAAGAAGGAAGAGGAGAAATATTTGAAGGAGGAAGAAGCTATGTGATAATAAAAGTGGGGGCAGGAAACACCATATGATAAGGAGGTATAAGCGAAGGAATGAGGACGGCCTATAGAAGCTATAGAAGAAAAATAAATGGATTATTCCATAGAAACTTTAGCAGCATCACAACCCAGCTGACATTAAGACTTCGGTATAGTGAATTCTATTTTGTATTTCTGGCCTCCACAGCCATACAAGAATGAATTTGGCTGGGCACGGTGGCTCACGCCTTAATCCCAGCACTTTGGGAGGCCGAGGTGGGTGGATCACCTGAGGTCAGGAGTTCGTGACCAGCCTGGCCGACATAGTGAAACCCCGTCTCTACTAAAAATACAAAAATTAGCCGGATGTGGTGGTGTGGTGGTGGGTGCCTGTAATCCCAGCTACTTGGGAGGCTGAGGCAGGAGAATCGTTTGAACCTGGGAGGCGGAGGTGGCAGTGAGCCAAGACTGTGCCATTGCACTCCAGCCTGGGCAACAAGAGTTTTTGAAACTCCATCTCAGAAATAATAATAACAATAATAATAAATAAATAAACTTGTGTAAATTATTCTGTTGTTGATAATTCATTACAGCAGCAATAGAAGACTAATAAAAATGACTGGCTAAGGCATATGAGTGGAGGAAAATCTACATTAATGCTAAAGACTAGAAAAAGGTAAACAATTTCCACTCAATATAATACTGATGTGACCTCTTTGAAGGAAGACAGAGGGCTGACATTTGACATACTCTGTAATAAAAGAACAGTATATCTAAAATTGAATTTGACACCTCTTATTTTATGGAATTCACATCTGGAGATGAAAGCATGGCATGAGATGTCAGAACACACGACTTGGTCTTCTCTTCAACAATATGGGTAAATCAACACAATGTGGAGTCCAGTAGTGTTACTTGGTGAACCCAGAAATCATTTATGGCCGAAGCTCCTATAATAAACAGAGCTTTGGGAGAGTAGCAGCAAGGCTGAGCTGAGAGTTGAATGTTGCTTCCTGACATGGTCTCCTTGGCAAAAACAGAGGCACATGTGAAAGTCCCCACTGAGCATATTCTTGTTCCTAACTTTTTCTAAACTTCTGCCAGTGAACTAGATCTCTGAATTTAAAGAACATATTTCTAGCAAGTGTAATTTTTCCTTTTCCCCTCACTTGTACCATTAAAATTTGTCAGAATCCCAGTCTATTTCACAAGATATCCATTTCAAATCAACTTTATTGATAGTAAAAGAATATTTGGAATGCCTAGACATTTCTCTATAAGAATGCAAAATTAAAGGAAAATCAGTAGACCCAAAGGCATGTGTTGCAATTCAAAAAGCTCCCCTGAAAAATTAGAACAACAGTCTTCACCTGAAAGAGATGTACTGTAAGAAACAAAACAAAATCCAGACATTAAATCTACGACGTTAGACCAAGCAGCCACAATGAAAGAATAATCAATGAGCATAAAACATTGAGGAAGGTGAAAACTATTATTGTCAAAAACTAAAATAATAGAAGTCATAGCTAAAGTCTTTTAGTAAGCCTCTTGAAGTAATAGTAGTGGGCTATTAGTTATTTGTCTCTCATATTTCAAAACACGGATCAATGAAATTTAAAGATTTTGTCATAAGTATTGAGTGAATGCATAAATATGATTTTTGATAGCACTGTAAGCGTACACAGGAATTTCATTTACTGGTTGTTTGGTGCCTTTTATCCCTGTTTGAATGTTTTCAGTGTAGTTAACAGTGTATTATAGACATTCACATTAAAAAAAATGACATGAATTAACAGCTCCTGATACAAACCAAACCAATAAAAAAGTAAAAACTGACAATTTCACTGGAAAGTAATCCTTTGGGAAAACAATTTGACAAATACGAGAAAAGTTTCCAGTTACTATAAAGCTGATAGGAATCTATTGAGAAAAATTACTTTGAATTCACTTTATGATCTACTCATACATTGCTTTATGAAATATACAATCTGATTTTAAAATGGCCAACGTGTTTTGTTTATTTCGTGCTACCTGATTCTCATTCATAAAGTGTTTCATTTTGAAAACTGGTTAGTTGTCATTCTATTTCACAAGCACCTCTTTGTGATGCCACCAGAGTATTTCCTCAACCAGTTTTCTACAAAATATTGGACACTGTAGTACTTTAAAACCAAAGTTCCAGAAGGTCTGATGGCAGTGTCTTGCACTCTGATAATTACAGTCCTCAAAAATAGAGAGATACTTCAGAAATAATAGAATGAGAAGCTCTACAGATCTTCTTCCCAACCAAACAATTATAAATTTTAAAGAAATCTTTCTTTAAAGTCTCTAAAAATTTTTCTGAGGGTATACAACAAATAGATACGTTTACTTGGGAGAATCTCAGTGTTTTTTAAAAAGTGAGATACTGTGGCATTTGAGACACACTCACACCTCCAGTTCAGTGCAATTGAAGCTCTACTGCTGATAGGTGTAGGTAAGAATAAAAGACTCCTTCTACCCCCATATCTCAGTCTAGGGCTCCACTGGAGGGGGAGGATGCCAGCATTTCTTATTCCCCAAAACTTCATGTTGCAGACTTCATGTTGCAGAAGCTCTCTTCCGGAAAAGATGGTCTATAAGTAGCTATACTGAAAAAGAATGAATATCTCAAATAAACAACCTAATTTCCCATCTTAATTTATTGTAAAAGGAAGAGAAAAGTAAGCCCAATGCAAATATTTTAAAAAGTTGTTTCCTCGGAAAGATTAATAAAAGTAGCAAAACTTTAGCTAGTATGACCACAAGAATGAGAGAAAAAATTCTAATTGCTAAAATCAGAAGTAAAAGAGGGGACTGTACTAAAATCTTTACAGAAATAAAAGGAATTATGAAGAAATACAATACTAGGAACAATGTATGCCAACACATAAGACAACTTTGATAAAATGAACAAATTCCTCGAAAGACGCAAATTGCCAAACTGACTCAGGATAAAATAGAAAATCTGAATAAACATATAGTAAGTAAAGGGATTGATTTAGTAATCAAAATATAACCACAAATAAAAGACCAATCCAGATATCTTTGCTTCTGAATTCTATGAAAAATTTAAAGAATAATTACTATCAATTTTTCACTACACCTTCTAACAAGTAAAAGATAAATGAACATGTATGATTCATTTTAGGAGGCTGGTATTACCTTGATACTAAAACAGACAAAGAATCAAAAAAAGAAAAGAAAAAAAGAAAAAGAAAAAAATACTACAGGCCAGTTGGGGTCCTTATGTGCTGATGCACTGCAGATGGAAATGTAAAATGTTAGAGCCACTTTAGAAAACAGTCTGGCTGTTTCTCCAAAAAAAAGTTAAACATAGAATTAACATTGACCGAGCAGTTCCACTGCTAGATACATACACAAGAGAAAAAAAAAGCATGTATCAAACAAAACTTTTATACGAATATTAATAGTAGCATTATTCATAAAAGCAAAAAAGTTGTAAACCAACTTAAATGTACATCACCTGATAAATGGATAAACAAAATGTTGTATATACAAACAATTGAGTATTATTTGTCCACTAGCATTACTAAATAGAACTAATCTTACAATTAAGATGGAAATATGAGTTGAAAAACTAAAAAAACTAAAAAGACAACTAGACCTCATAGGAATATATGAAAATTTCCGCCCAATAATAGAAGATTACACATTTTTCTCACAGTCACACAGAACATTCTCCAGTATAGACAATACGTCGGGGCATAAAACAAGCTTCAATATTTTTTAAATGATTCAAATCTTAACGTATGTTCTCTGACCCAAATGCAATGAAATGATGAATCAAAACAGAGGAAATTCACAAATATAGGAAATTAAACAACATACTCCTAAATAACCAATGAGTCAAAGAAGGAATCACAAGAGAAATGATAAAATATTTTGATATGAATGAAAATATAGACGCAGTATATCAAAATGTATGCTAAAGCTGTACTCTGAGAGAAATTTATCATTGTAAATGCCTATATCAAAAACAAAACACACCTTAATAATTTAACCTTCCACTTCAATCACCTGAAGATGTTACCAAAACAAACACCAGGGGTTCAGTCTAGGTTCTGGGGCTTGCAGCAGAGAAAGCCAGTCACTCAGAAGAATTATTGCAAAGAATGAAGGCCTCAATTGGGTGCTGCAGCCAAGGAGATGGGATATCAGTCTAAAATCCGTCTCCCTGACTGAATAAAATTCGTAGTCTAGATAGCAGGGAATAAATGTAACTATGTGTGGGAAAACAGGAAATGAAGAGAGGTAAGGAAGTAATCATGGTAAATGAGGGGCCTGGTGTCTTATTTTCTGGATGCAATGATCTAGTGAGTTTCAGTTCTTTGATACTTTCTGAGAGGCCTATGGGTCCTTTCCTGAGGAAGAAACTCAGAGAAAACAAATATAAGCTTTGTTTTCAAGCTTTAAGCTTTAAGACCAGAATAGTCAACTTCTATGCAAAAACAAAATCAAGAACAACAAAAAAACTGTAAATGGGACTATTAGGTTGGTTTCAAAGACAATGAGAAAACAAAAAGCAAAGAAAAAGCCTACAGAAGGAAACGAGATTAGCGAAAAAATTCATATAATAGAAAACACAGATAAAAACAATAGAGAAAATAAACAAAACCAAATTTAGGCACTTTGGAAAGATAAATAACATTGACAAACTTTTAGATAGGCTGACCAAGAAAAATAGAGAAAAAATCAAATTACTTTATTCAATAATAGAATAAGGTACGTTGCTTGTAACAAGTCCCAACTAATTCCTTGAGATATGCATAGCTCTGATACCAAATTCATAAAGATATCACAAAAAAGAAAATGACAGACCCGTATCTCCTATGAATATAAATGCAAAACTTCAACAAAATTCTCAAACATAAAATCAAAACTTAACAGGGATTTCAATGAATTTGTTTTGGACAGTATTCTTTTCACAGCATAAATTAATAAGCATATAATGTTTTCCCATTCATTTAGGTATTCTTTAATTTCCTTTAGCAGTGTTTTGTAGTTTTTAGTGCACAAGTATTTCACCTCTTTTTAAAAGTTTTTTTTCCCTTGGTATTGTATTATTATTAGGATGATATTTTAAATTGAATACTTTTAAAATTTTTTTGTTTTTCTTTGCTAATGTATAGAAAGATAAATAATTCTTTCACACTTATTTTGTGCCATCCAACATTCTAAAATAATTTGTTACCACTAATAGGTTTTTTTTTTTGTAAATTCCTTGGGTTTTCTATATATAAGATCATATTATCTGCAAACAGAGAAAGTTTTTACTTCTTTTCTATTTGGATCCCTTTTATTTATTATTGGCCAATTTTTCTGTCTAGAATGTCCACTAAAAAGTTGAATAGCAATGGTGAACCCCCACGTTTATTGCAGTACTATATAGCTAAGATATGGCTTCAAGCTAAACATCCATCAATATACAAGTGGATAAAGAAAATGTGTTATATATACACAATGCAATACTATTCGGCCATAAAATGAATGAGATTCTGTCATCCCTGGCAACATGGATGAGCCTGGAAGACATTGGATTAAGCAAAATCAGTCAGGCACAGAAATATAAATATGATGTGATCTTACTCATATGTGGGAGCAAAAATAAATTTTGAGGTTATAGAAGTTGGGAGTAAAATTGTGGGTATTAGAGGCTGGAAAGTGAGTGAAGATGGGGAGGTATTGGCTAACAGATGCAAAATTACAGCTAGATAGGAAGAATGAGTTCTGGTGTTCTTCAGAACTGTAGGATGATTATGGTTAACTGTAATTTACTGTATACGTTTAAAAACCTAAAAGAGAGGATTTTGAATATTCCCAACACACACAAATCACCCGGATTTTGTCATTATGCAATGTATGCACATGTTGAAGTGCCATTCTGTATTCCCCAAATATGTACAATTTTTACATGTCAAATAAAAATAAAAGGAACAAAAACCAATGAGCTATTATCTCACCTTTTTGGATAGCTATTATCAGAAAGATAATACAACAAGTCTCGATGAGGTTTTGGAGAAAAGCAAAGTGTTGTACGCTGTTGGTGGGAATGTGAACGCATATTACCTTTATGGATAACAGTGTAGAGATTACAATTAAAAAATACATCTAGCTTATAATTCATTAATCTCACTTCTTCATAGATATCCAGTGGAAATAATATTAGGATTTCAAAAATATATCTGTATCCCTATGTTTAATATTGCGTTATTCACAATTGCCTAGATACGGAAACAAACCAAATACCTAATGATAGATAAAGAAAATGTGGTGTAAATACACAATAGAATGCTGATGAGCGTTAAAAAATAAAGAAATCCTGTTATTTGTGGCAACATGGATGAATCTGGAGGACATTATGCTAAGTGAAAGAAGCCAGGCATGGAAAGAAAAATATGTAAGATCTCATTTATATGCGGAATTTAAATCATCAAACTCATGGAAGCAGAGAGGAGAGTGGTGTTTTCCAGGGGCTGGGGAGTGAATGCGGAGAATACGGGAGATATTTGTCAAAGGGTACAAATTTTTAGTTATGCAAAATGAATTAGCCCTGGAGATCTAATGTACAGCAATGTGAGTATAGTTAACAACATTACATTGTGTACTTGAAATTTGCTAAAGGTGTAAATCAAGTGTGGTCACCACAAAAAATAAAAGGAAAAATAAAAGAATAAATATGCGGGGTGATGGATATGTTAATTAGCTTGTTTGTGGCAATTATTTCACAATCTGTACATATATCAGAACATCGCGTTGTACACCTTAAACATATACAATTTTTATTTGCCAATTATACCTCAGTAAACGTGAAAAAAGAGAAATAAGTTTTTCCAATTCATTTATACCTATAAAAAAGCTCACAGATAAAGACCAATACCACTAATATATATACATGCAAAATTCCTAAATGAAATATGAGAAAGATAAATACAATAAAAATAATTTTTCATGTCCAATTGGTTTATTCATAACATTACAGCTTAATAAGACTTAATATAGTAATCACAGTATCAATGGGTTAAAGGATTATTATTCCGAATAAATCAGATGACAAAGAGACATTTAATAAAATTCAATATAACTTTCAAATGTAAGCTCTCTTCAAATAAAATCTTCCTTTCTTAACAAAATCAAAGAAATCTGTCTTTAAATTATGATGAATATCATTTGTTCCAAAGAAAATATAGAAAATGTATGTTGCAAATCAAAGATTACATGCAGAGTCTAATAATCACCTCATTAATTTACATTATCTGGGAAGTTCTGATTCACATAACAAAATTATAAAAATAAGTAAACTAATTGAAAGTGGGAGATAATATCTTTATTTGCATAGGATATTTTCTACCTAGAAAATTCAAGAAAATCAACTGAATTCTGTTTTTTTTTTTTTCGGAGACGGAGTCTCGTTCTGTCACCCAGGCTGGAGTGCAGTGGCACGATCTCCACTCACTGCAGCCTCCGCCTCCCGGGTTCAAGCGATTCTCCTGCCTCAGCCTCTTGAGTAGCTGGGACTACAGGCGCATGCCAACACACTCAGCTAATTTTCTGTATTTTTAGTAGAGATGGGGTTTCACTATGTTAGCCAGGATGATCTCGATCTCCTGACCTCGTGATTTGCCTGCCTCAGCCTCCCAAAGTGTGGGATTACAGGCGTGAGCCACTGCGCCTAGCTGAATTCTTAGAACTCATACAAAATGTGTGTAATCTGGTTGGATACAGAAAAAATCACTGAAAAACATAACAAAAACAGCAAAAAAAAGTAAAATTGTTTAATAACACATTTAACAAAATATATGAAAAGTCTTTATGTGTGTATAACTTTATTTGAATGTATAGTCAAGGCATGTGCTTGGCATGGAAAGACAATATTTTAACATTCTGAAATCCTCTCTAGTTAATGTATAGGTTAGAAATTCCAGTAAAAATCTCAATAGCATTTGAGCACTAACAAAAAGCTTTACATACATGTAACTTTATTGGAACGTAGAGTGGAGGTTTGTGCCTGGGATGGAAAGATAATATTTTAACATTCCAAATTACTCCCTAATTAATGTATAGGTAAGAAATTCCATTAACAATTTCAATAGCGCTTGAGAACTAACAAAAATATTCTGAAGATTATCTGGAAAAACATTCCTAAACATAGCCAGGAATAAATAAAAAGTTAAACAGTAGAAAATTTCTCTACAAAATATTAAAATAAGAGAGTTCTAATAAGTTACAGTACAGTAGTATTCATCTAATTCATTGAGAAAAGAATCAGAAAAAACCATACATGAAATACGCTATCATTCAATAGTAATAACAGAAGTACAAATTGTAACAGTATAAATTGTACTTTTTCAGTGGGAAAATGACCACAAAAACACCTTTGAAGACTATATTTATTATTGGTGAAGATTGGAGGAAATAAACTTTTCATATATCGACTACTGTAGGAAGGTATGTTCATGTGTATAAAAAATCTTATATATTGCAGAGTGACAATACTACCTTTGATTCTTTCACAGTTTGCACTCAGTAAGGAGATGTCTATATAAAGGACCTAAGAGCTACTGAATTCCCCAGAAAAGGCTATTTAGAGCCATTCTGCCTTTGGATATTGCTTACCTTTTTTGCTAATAATTCAAGGAATATCAGTAAAAAATAGAATTCGGCACACAAACTTGCAAAATGCCTGACAACTATTTCTTCCTTGAGATTTTCTGTCTTTAGTTTCATCTTGTCATAAATGTTTAAACTTGCAAGTTCCATAAAATAAAAATCACAATTATGTCAGTAATTACTTTGTTTTCCAGTCCTGTTTAATAATAAGCAAACACTGAAATAATTGAAGGGACAAAATGATCAACACGTCTCTGAATTTAATCAGGTGTTTCTAATTGCCATCAATTACAAATGACATTTCGTTCTTTTTCTAACTCAAGTTACTCCATCTTTATCCTCATCAAAAGAGTGCATTCTTCCAAACTTTTTAACTTTCATAAGAAAGAAAATGTGAGGCAACAAAAAATCTGTAAGACCACAGTAAGTTGGCCCTATTAAAATTCACGGCAATTATATTGGCTTAACAATATATTTATATAAAGACATAGTGGCTCCTTTATTATCATCTCATTATCTATCAATTTTGGACAAAATTTTAATTTCTTAAAAGTAGAGCTAAAAACATATTTTTGTTGTTAAAAAACACCTATTTTACATGGCCACAAACTTCCTAAACAAGAGTAGACAAAAGCAATCAACATCTTGAGAGATGATGAAGTAAAAATGTGCATCTACAGTTATTGTACTATTAAGTCTGTACATCTTTGATAGTAGTAATCCAAAATCTTTGGAATATTAAAAACATGTTTTAGTTACTGAATGGAGTTACATGTTTCCAGTTGAAACTACATACTTTGTTTCAATTAAGTTCTTCTAGCCAAAACATCCTCTTACTAAGTGGACCAGGTGGAGTATCCACTTATCTCTAAGTATGGGGTTTCAGTTCTCTCATGGCCTCAGAATTATTTAAACAAGCCAATCGTTTTTTTCTACTGGAAATAGGGAGCAGTGTACCCTCTTGATCCTAGGAAGCCTGCTTCCCATAGTCCCTGGTTGTTTACTTTGTTCTTGAATGCAAACCCCAACCCCATGTGGCCTGTGATGCCTTCCTCTTCCAGGCTTTGAGTATATGTGACCAATAAATTGCTGTGGATATCATTTATTTAGTATCAGATGTTGTGTGTTCGGCTGTCTCAATAACCCTAGGGAGGGAATTCCTTCCTCACAAATGGGGTGAATAAAAACAAAAAATAAATAAATATGATTCATGAGAAGTGTTACGGATAGTCAATAGTAGTTAGTATATCAGAACAACTCATATACATATGTTAAGTATTGACATTGGATAAGCAAGTAATTTATAAGACATAGTCAAAATTCAGAATACAGGCATGCCTCCTTTTATTGTGCTTCACTTTCTTGTCTTTCACAGATAATGTGTTTTTTACAAATTGAACATTTGTGTCAATCTTGCATCCAGCAATCAATCAGTGCCTTTTTCCCAACAGAATGTGCTGACTTCATATTTCTGTGTAATATTTTGGTAATTCTTATATTTACAATTTTTTATTATATATTCTGATGACCTTTGATCAGTGATTCAAAGCAATTATTCTAGTAATTGTTTTGATGTACCACAAACTATGCCCATATAAAATGGTAAACTTAATCAGTGAATGTGGTGTGTGTTCTGACTGCTCAACCCACAGGCTGTGCCCCTATCTCTCTTCATCTCCTCAGGCCTGAGACAAAACAATGTTGAAATTAGGCCAACTGAGAGCCCTATAATGGCATCTAAGTGTTTCAGTGAAAGGAAGAATCACATCTCTCACTTTAAATCAAAAGCTAGGAATCATTAACCTTAGTGAGGAAGGCATGTTGAAAGCCACGATAGACCCCTTGCAACATGTTATTAGCCAAGCTGTGAATAAAAAGGAAAAGTTCTTGAAGAAAATTATAAGTGCTACTCAAGTGAATACATGAATTATAAGAAAGCAAAACAACCTTTTTTGCTGATGGGGAGAAAGTTTGAGTGGTCTGAATAGAAGATCAAAAACTAGCCTCAACATTCCCTTAAGCCAAAGCCTAATTCAGAGCAAGGCCCCTAACTCCCTTCAATTCTATGAAAGCAAAGAGAGCCAAGAAAGCTGCAGAAGAAAAATTTGAAGCCAGTATGACTTTTAAGTAAAGATGTCTCCCTGACATCAAAGCACAATGTGAAGAAGCAAGTGTAGAAGCTTCAGCAAATTTTCCAGCTCTCACTAAGATAACGATGAAGGTGGCTACAATAAACAACAGATGTTCCATATAGATGAAGCAGCCTTCTATGAAAAGAAGATGCCATCTAGAATTTTTACAGCTAGAAAGGAGAAGTTGATGCCTGGCTTCAAAGCTTAAAAGGACAGGCTCACTCTCTTGTTAGGGGCTAATGCAGTTGGTGACTTTAAGTTGAAACCAATGCTCATTTACTGTTCTGAAAATTCTAGGGCTCTTGAGAATTAATGCTAAATCTATTCTGTCTGTGCTATATACATGGGACCACAAAGCCTGGATGACATCTCCTTACAGCATGGTTGACTGAATATTTTAAGCCCATTGTTGTGATACGCTGCTCAGAACAAAAGATTAATTTAAAAATATTACTGCGTATTAATTATTCACTTGGTAACCCAACAGCTCTTGTGGAACTGTATAAGGAAATTAATGTTGTTTTCATGCCTGCTAACAAAACATCCCTTCTTTAGCCCATGTATCAAGGAATAATTTCTACTTGCAAGTCTCATTATTTAAGAAAGACATTTGTAAGGCTATAGGTGCCATATCTAAAAATTCCTCTGGGAAACGTAAATTAAAAACTTCCTGGAAAAGATTCATTATTCTAAATGCCATTAAAAATATTTGTGATCCGTTGGAGGTCAGAATATCAACATTAACAGAAGTTTAATGAAGTTAATTCTAACCCTCATGGATGACTTTTATGGGCTCAATATTTCAGTGGCAGAAGCAACTGCAGATGTGGTAGAAATAGCAAGAGAACTAGAATTACAAGTGGATCCTGAATATATGGCTGAATGGCAGAAATCTTATAATAAATCTTGAAAGCATGAAGAGTACCTCTTAAGAATGAGTGAAGAACATGGTTTCCTAAAATGGAATCTACTGGTGAAGATGCTGTGAACATTGTTAAAAAGACAACAAAGTATTTTGAATACTACATAAACTTAGTTGATAAAGCAGTGGCAGGGTTTGAGAGGGTTGACTCCAATTTTAAAGAAGTTTTACTGTGGGTAAAATGCTATAAAACAGCATTGCATGTTACAGAAAAATCTTTCTGTAAATCATTCAAGGCAAAGTCCATCAATGTGACAAACATCGTCATGTTATTTTAAGAAATTGCCACAATCACCCCAACCTTCAGCAACCATCACCCTCATCAGGCAGCATACATCAACATCAAAGCCAGATCTCCCCTCAGCAGCAAGATAATGGCTCACTGGAGTCTCAGATGATTGTTAGTGTTTTATCAGCAATAAAGTATTTTTAATTAAGATATGTACATGGTTTAGACAATGCTATTGCCCACTTAATACAGTATAGTGTAAACTTCATATGCACTGAAGAAACAAAAAACAATGGTGACTTGTTTTATTGTGATATTTACTTTATTTATGTGGTCTGATATGAAACCTGAAGTATGTCCAAGATACGCCTGCATTTAATTTGTTATGTGGGCCTTTGTGTTCCATGACTTCTGGGATAACTTACTTGGCAGTAAACCTGGATGCCACCATTACATCAATGTAATTTCCTTCATGGCACTTTTTCTGACACCTCTTACTTCTCGATTCTCTATCCAATTTTAAAAAAAGAAGGTGTCACACCTCTCACCACTTTTTATTACTATGATGTATTCTCCCAAAGTTATTAAAAACTACCAGAGTACCAAATGAGGGAATGATTTGAAATACTGGTGATAGTGTTGAGAAATTGAATGAGTGAAAAGACTGACTAAGCAAGGTGATTTTCGTTTCTTTTTTAAAGCAAAACTGAAAGAGATGCATTGGAGTTTTCAGCTGACAAATTGTTTTTATATTACTCAGAGAATGTTTTTAAATAATTGTGTCACAACTTTTCTCAGAATGTGTCTATAGAAGCAAATAAAATGGCACAAATGAATAGTTGCAGAACCCTGTTTTATTCAAAGCTCAAAAAATGACATTCATTTAATAAGGGATTTTTTCACAAATAAATGAATTACTTAAAAAATGCTCTATTCATCTCAATAACATGCATTTTCTTTCCATGTTTAATTGTAATGTATCAAATTTGTAGTTTAATTTTGTTGTTTTGATCAATGCTATACTAAGAATTACAATGACAACTTAGTACATGTGTGATTTTTAAAAGTTAAAGTTTAGAGTTATAGGATACTAAGACATTTCCAATGAGTATGACTTTTAAACATAAAATATATGTAATTAGGATACAATTCTGTTATGAATTAAGTGGTAACAAACATTCAAAGAGAAAAAAGTTTAAAGATATCCATGCTTTTTCTTATAAGCAAGACCTTGTTTATATATTCAAATCAACATGGTGACTAGAATTTAGTGAATATATTGGAAAGAGCAGAGAAACTATTTTGTTACTAATGAAGTAACAATGAATGAAGGGCTGTGGATGAAGGTTGGAAGTAGGTGTGATTCCTCTCACCAAGACAGCTAACAACCTAATAACATAATTTTTGGTTTATGTTCTGGCAGTTTTAAGCTCTGCTGATTCAAATGTTTCAGTTTGCATGAAGTGAATATTTCTACCAGTAGGCACAACAATGGTTTTATTCATTTGGATAGTAAGACTTCCACCTGGACATTTTTGGTCCTTATGACACTCAATTGACAGATGAAGGAGGAGTTAAACTCCTGGGTGAGGTGATTAATTCCAGTTACTCATATTTCTTAGTACTTCTATATGCAACAGTAAAATTTAATAAAAAGGGTAGGACGGCTCATTATGAATCTATGTTCTCTTTACTTTTAACCAACCATTCTGGTGATCAGCTATGGTCTCATGGCTGTTATAGAAACAAGAAACAAAGTAGGTCTGCACATGAGTTTTCATACTTATAGAAATATTTTCTTTCTCCATCTCCCCTATTATTTTGTTTAGGATATACTTGTAGTGGTTAATTTTATAATTTAAAATTTAGATGAAATAATATACCTGTGGGATAAATACTGAATTAGAAGAATTAACATCTTACAGTGTTGGATTCTGAGGTTTTGAGTCTTCATTTTTGGTGGGAGAGTGTGAGACAATCTTTGTTTTCATAAAGAACTGTTATAGAAGCACAATGTTCTTGTTATTTTTTGTTACATAGAATTTTAAGTGAGAGAAGATGGTAAGAATGGATTCTAAGCAGCCAGGTTCGTGGACTGTGTTAGGCATTTCTATTTGCTTTATTTCCATCCTTTCATGCCTCTTTTTGTATTGCAGGGTGTTGGACACTTGCAAACTAATTTCCTGACATTCTTGCCAGTTAGCTTTTATTCAGGATGTGTCTATTGGAGGCACAGAGGGAGAATGAAAGGCAGAAGAAAGAAAGACATTTTTCTTTCTTTTCTTGGGTTTCTTATAATGCCTTTGAGAATGTCAGAAGCAGGATGGACAACCTAGTATTCCAGGTTCTGCTTGACATTAAAGTTCCAGGGGACATTATGGCAGCTGATGCTCCACCAGTCTTGGTAGTGTAGTGCTTGTAACCATTGGCTCTGGCAGCAACAGCAATAATGGGTGACTCCAGGCTCTCTGTATCTTTCAGGGTCAGCATAAAATAAGTGATTTAATGTATTTAAATTCCACTTGACATAATTACGTGACTGATGTAAACTGTTCGTTTTAAAATTTCAGTATTTTAAATATGTCTTTCTCACTTTATACAAGTATGAAAAATTTTATGTGTCAATGTAAAAATATGCAAACACTTTTAAAGGCTAAACAGGAAAAACTAAGACAACTCTTCTGCAAGCTCAAGGCTGCCTCATAGTCACATCTCTAATTTGGTTCACAGGACAGACAAAAAGAGGAAGTTCAGGGCGACAAAATTCCTTTTAAGTAAGTGAGTCAGAAATTACACAGATTGTTTCCACTAATTTTTCTTTTGAGGTAATCTAGTGACCTGGCCATAAATAATCAAGACTGAGAGTAGGACACTTAATATTTTACTCAGGTAAAATTACTGACTTTATGAAACAGAGAGAAGGTTTTTATTGAAAAATAGCTGTCACTCCCCACAATATGTTCAAAAGCCAATATCAGAGTCTTTAATTTACATCTGAAATACCTAATGAAGTTTCTATTTTCTGGCTTTCAAAGTTCTCTTAGCCTGTAGAGCTTGCCTATGACCTAGAATTTCCTGTTCTAGAAATATACATTCACTTAACAAATATTTATACAACTTTTACTATGTTCCCAGCACACTTTTGGGTGGTAAAGGTGTAGTTATGAATAAGGAAAACATGATTCTTACCCTCATGGAGCTTACAATCTCCTGAAATAATATATAACTATATATTATAATAATATATAATATAATATATAATATAATGTAATAAAGATGAAGAAAGATAGTACCAAATAATGAAAAGTGTTAGAATAAAAGCAGACAGCACCCTGCCTAAAATTTTCAGGCCTAAGACAAATTGCAAACAGAGGCTCTGCATGATTATTACATATTTAATTATGTATTCTTCAAAAGTGTCCTTTGAATAGTCATAAAATTAGAGTGTATAATGCTACATATTGTCTCTTCAAAAAGTAGAAATAAAGATAGATAAAATTATTTGATTACAGAATACACAAAGAGTCTTACATCCCAAATTTAGAAAAACAATTAAAAAGTAAATTCTTGGGTAAAATAGGCAATAAAAAAATTTAAAAATTCATACAAATTAATTATAATAACAGTATTAGGGCCTGTAGAGGACAGCTAATGGAGTAATCAGAGAAAAATCAATAACCTTAAATGTGTATATCAGTAAAAAAACAGATAATTGAAATAGACATCTGGCTAAGATAAGAAAAAATAAAAAAAGCAGAAGGAAAGTATTAATAAATACAAAAGCAGAAATGAATAGAATAAATAACAGAACATATAAATAATTCTAAATTGTGATTATTTGACTAAAAACGAAAACAAGCAAATCTTTTTTAGGTTTTTATTTGTTATTAATTAGCACATAATAATTGTACATATATATGGAGTACAGTGTGATGGTTTGATACATATATACAGTGTGTAGTAATCAAATCAGAGTATTTAGCACATTTACCACCTCAAATGCATATCATTTATTTGTTACTAAAACATTTAACGTTCTTTCTTCTAGCTATTTTGAAATATACAATACACTATTGTTAACCATAGCCAACCTACTAAGCAATAGAAAATCTAAACTTATACAAATGCAAAATGCACTGGAAACTCTCAGCAATAGAATCAAACAAGCAGAAAAAAGAACTTCAGAGCTTGAAGATAAGGTTTTTGAAATAACCCAATCTGACAAAGACAAAGAAAAAAGAATTTAAAAAAAATGACAAAGCCTCCAAGATGTTTGGGATTATGTTAAATGACAAACCCTAAGAAAAATTGGCATTCTGAGGAAGAAGAGAAATGTAAAAGTTTGAAAAACTTATTTGGAGAAATAATCGAGGAAGACTTCTCTGGCCTTGCTAGAGATCTAGACATCTAAATACAAGGAGCTCAAAAAACAACTGGGAAATATATCGCAAAAAGATCATCGCTTTGACACATAGTCATCAGGTTATTTAAAGTCAGTCAAGATTAAGGAAAGATTATTAAGAGCTATGAGGCAAAAGCACAAAGTAATCTATAAAGGAAAACCTATCAGAGTAACAGAGGATTTCTCAACAGAAACCCTGCAAGCTAGAAGGAATGGGTGTCCTATCGTCAGCCTTTTTAAACAAAACAACTATAAGCCAAGAATTTTGTATTCCGTGAAACTAAGCTTTATAAATGAATGAAAGATGACCAGGCATGGTGGCTCACGCCTGTAATTCCAGCACTTTGGGAGGCTGAGGTGGGCGGATCATAAGTTCAGTAGTTCAAGACCAGCCTGACCAGCATGGTGAAACCCCATCTCTACTATAAAAAAAAAAAAAAAAAAAAAAAAAAGAAAAATTAGCCAGGCGTGGTGGTGGGTGCCGGTAATCTCAGCTACTCGGGAGGCTGAGGTAGGAGAATTGCTTGAACCCTGGAGGCAGAGGTTGCAGTGAGTTGAGACTGCACCACTGCACTCCAGCCTGGGCGATAGTGCGAGACTCAGTCTCAAAGAAAAAAAAAAAAAAAAAAAAAAAGAAAGATACAGTCTTTTTCATACAAGCAAATGCTGATGGAATTTGCTGCTACCAAGCCAGCACTGCAAGAACTGCTAAAAGGGGCTCTAAATCTTGAAAGAAATCCTGGAAACCCATCAAAATAGAACCTTCTTAAAGCATAAATCTCATAGGACCTATAAAACAACAACACAATAATAATTTTTTAAAAAGGTATTTAGCCAACAAATAGCATGATGAGGAGAAGAGCACCTCACATCTCACTACAAATGATGAATGTAAATGGCTTAAATGCTCCACTTGAAAGACACAGAATCACAGAATGGATAAGAATTAACCAACCGTCTGCTGCCTTCAAGGGACTCACCTAACATATAAGGACTTACATAAACATAAGCTAAAGAGGTGGAAAAATACATTGCTTGCAAATGGACACCAAAAGTGAGTAGGAATAGCTATTCTTATGTCAGACCAAAAAAAAAAAAAAAAACTTTAAAGCAACAGCAGTTAAAAAAGACAAAGAGGGACATTATATAAAGATAAACAGCCTTGTTCAACATGAAAGTATCAAAATCTTAAATATATGCACCAGTGGTGGAGCTCCCTAATTTATAAAGCAATTACTACAAGACCTAAGAAATGAGATAGACAGAAACACAATAATAGTGGGGGAATTCAATACTCCACTGGCAACACTAGAAAGGTTATAATAACAGAAAGTCAACACATAAACAATGGATTTAAACTATACCCTGGAACAAATGGACTTAACAGATATTTACAGAAAATTCTATGAAACAACCACAGAATACACATTCTGTTCATCAATGTATGGAACATTCTCCAAGGTAGACCATATGATAGGCCACAAAACAAGTCTCAATCAATTTATGAAAATTGAAATTATATCACGTACTCTCCCTGACCACAGTGGAAAGAATTGGAAATTAACTCTAAAAGGAACCTTCAAAACCATGCAAATACATGGAAATTAAATAACCTGCTCCTGAATGATGATTGTGTCAACAATGAAATCAAGATGAAAATTTAAAAATTCTTTGAACTGAACAATAATAGTGACAGAACCTATCAAAACCTCTGGAATACAGCAAAGGTGGTGCTAAGAGGAAAGTTGATAGCCCTAAAAGCCTACATCAAAAAGTGTGAAAGAGCACAAACAGACCATCAGGTTTTTTGCCCACTTTTTAATGAAGTTATTTGCTTCTTGCTATTGAGTTCTTTGAGTTCCATATATAATTTGGGTATTAACAGATTATCAGATATATGATTTGCAAACATTTCTCTCATTCTGTGGGTTGTCTTTTCACTTTGTGAGTTTTCTTTTTTGCCGTGCAGAGGCATTTCAGTTTGATGCCATTCCACTGGTCTAACTTTTGTTTTCGTTGTCCATGTGTTCAGGATTATATCCAAACAGTCATTACTACAGCAATGTCATGGAGCTATTTCCTCATGATTTTTTAGAATTAGGTTTACAGTTTCAGGTGTTCTATTTAAGTGTTCATTTTTTATGGCTGCATAGTATTGCATTGTGTATATGTACTACATTTTATTTATCCAGTCTATCATTGATGAGCATTTAGGTTGATTCCATGTCTTTGTTATTGTAAATAGTGCTGCAGTAAACATACATGTGTGTGTCTTTATAATAGAGTAATTTCTATTCCTTTGGGTGTATACACACACAGTAACAGGATTGCTGAATCAAATGGTATTTCTGTATTTATGTCTTTGAACATGTCCCTTGCAGGGATATGGATAGAGCTGGAGGCCATTATCCTTAGCAAACTAAAGCAGGAACAGTAAACCAAATACAGCATGTTATCACTTATAAGTGGGAGCTAAACGATGAGAGCACATCAATACATAGAGGAGAACAATGCACACTGGGGTCTATCGGAGGGGGGAAGGTGAGAGAAAAATAACTAATGGATAGCAGACTTAATACCTGGGTGATAAAATAATCTGTACAACTATCCCTTATGACATATGTGTACCTATGTAACAAAATTGCACATCCTGCACGTACACTCCTGAATGTAAAATAAAAGTTAAAAAAATACATCTTCAATTCATTTTGATTCAATTTTTTATATGGTGTAAGAAAAGGGTCAAATTTCATTCTGCTGCATGTGGATATCCAGTTTTCTCAATACCATTTATTGACGAGATTCTCCTTTCCCCATTGTATGTTCTTGGTACCTTTTTCAAAATCGGTTGACTATATATGGTTTAGTTTATTTCTAGGTTTCCTATTTTGTTCCATTTGTCTGTGTTTTGTGTTTGTGCCAGTACCCTGCTGCTTTGATTACTGTAGCTTTGTAATATATTTTTAAATCAAGGAGTGTGATGCCTTCAGCGTTGTTCTCTTTGCTCAAGACTGTTTTGGCTATGTAGTCTCTTGTGGTTCCATAGCAATTGGAGTATTTTTGATGGCAGCAGTGGCCCATCTGGAGTGGCCATTGCCAAGATGCCACTGCAGTAGGCAGTTGTGGCCAGGACTGTACACTCCATGGAGCAGGCAGGAACCCCATGCCCCCAGGCTCAGGCCTCCTATTCCACAGAGAAGGCTGGAGCCCTACCACAGCTCCAGACCTGAGTGTCTCTGTGCTATTGGGTGCCTGGGAGGTTCCCCTGCCCCCAGCATGCTCAGAAGTGCCTTCTCCCACAATCTGGCTTCTCCCCACTGTCGGTGTCTGCTCCGATATCAGAGGTGTGGCTGGAAATGCATGCTCCACAGAGCCAGTGGGAGCTGTGGACAAGCGGGAGCCCCACCCTTTTGGAACTGGCTAGGCAAGAGGTCCTTGGATGCAGCTGCAGCTGCCCAAGCCAGGCTGCAGACCCAGACACCTCTGTGCTCTTGGGGAAATGCAAAGGTCTCTGTGCCCCCACCCCCCAGACTCAGAGTTGCCTTCTTCTGCTGCCTGGCCTCTCCCCTCTCCCAGAGCCTGCTCTAATCTTGGAGCAAGGTTGGGCTGAGCTGAGTACTGCTGCAGCCTACCTGGGTGGGTGCATGCTCAGGGCAGCGCTGACACACTAGCCCCCTGCCACCTTCGCCCCCTCTGGATTTTGGGCACTGACAAGCATAGGAGGAAAGCCAAAGGTGGGGGGGGGAGTTGAGGGCAGCACAGTGCTGGCCTGCAGGTGCCACTTGGCACAAGCAGCCTGGGCACCAGAATGGCAGTGAGAGACAGACTCCTGGGCAGTTTTTGAGGGTGCGCCCCCAGTGAAGCCCCACCTTCAGGCCAGGGAAGGCCTGTGCCTGGGAACTGGTCTGCCAATCCTGTGGACCGGAGGTGGACTGGTGATGCTTTTTTCTGGGCCCACCCGTGGTTGTCCGTGGAACAATTAGCATGTACTTTCTCTCTCTGAAGACCATAAAAAGCCCTGACCCAGCCAGAGCAGAGTAGACATCAACACAACCAGCTGCAGAGAGAAGCTGCCCTCTCCAGGGCCTCCTCTCTGCTGAGAGCTGCAGACATCAGGACAACCACCTGCAGAGAGGAGGTACCCTCTCCAGGGCCTCCTCTCCCCTGAGAGCTGCAGATATTGGGATGACCTGCCTGTAAGGGGAGCCAGCCTCTCCAGGGCCTCCTCTCTGCTGAGAGCAGCAGACATCAGGACAACCAGCTTTAGAGTGGAGCTACCCACTGCAGGTCCCCTCTGGGCTGTTGTAACACTCAATAAAGCTCCTTTTCGTCTTGCTCACTATCCACTTCTGTGCATATCTCATTCTTCCTGGATGCAGGACAAGAACTTGGGCAAAGATGCCCCTGGCCACAGAGATGTCCAGCCAGAAAAGTGATACCAAAAGATCCCGTAACATTTATTTTTCATTTATGTTAAAAATGGCATTGACCCTTTCATAAGGATTGCAATGAGACTTTCGATTGCTTCAAGTAATATGGACATTTTCATAGTAATAATGAACATGGGAATTATTTCCATTTGTGTCTTTTAAATATATTTTATCAGTGTTTTACAGTTTTCAGTACCCAGATCCTTTACCTCCTTAGTGGAATTTACACCTAAGTATTTAATTTTTTGGTTGCTACTATAAATCATATTGCTTACTTAATTTTCTTTTCAGAGTGTTTGTTACTAATACATAGAAGTGCCACTAATTTTTAAGGCTGATTTTGTATCCTGCACCTATACTCAATTTACTTATCATTTCTAACAGTTTTTTGGTAGAGTCTTTAGGGTTTTCTTAAGTAAGATTATGTCATCAACAAATAGAGAAATTTTCACTTCCACCATGTGACGATATGGCAAGAAGACCTTCATCAGATGCTGATGACTTGATCTTGAAATTCCTAGCCTCCAGAACTGTGAGAAAAATATGTTTTTATTTATAAATTACCCAGTCTCAGGTATTGTATCGGCACAAAACAGACTAAGATAGCTTGTGACAGATATACATTGATTACTCTAATTACTATTAATGTCATTATTACTGAGTATCTATAATGTGAAGTACTATAACAGATGGGCATATAAAAGGAGTGAGAATCTTAGCATATGAAGAATTTAGAGAATTCATTCAAGAATTGTTTTTAGTTACATGTGTCTGCACTTGGTACTATTCTAGGCACTGGGGATCTGACAGATGGAAAAAAGATAAAGTTCCTGCCATAAGGAAACTTGCATTGATCAGCTGAAGAACAAAAGCCTAAGAACAATTGACAACTATATTATAGTGTGATGAATACAATGAGAAGCCAGAGCACACGGAGGAGGAATTTAAAGGGAAGGGGCATGTAACCTGGTTTTCTGAGAGCAAAATTATAAAAAGAGTCTTAGAGGGGGTAATGTCTATGCTAAGCCTGGAAAGACTTATTTGTTGATTTAAAAACTTTCTGCATAATACCTGTTATGTGCCTGAAATTGTTCTAAGTGCTTTACAAATGAGTTATTAATTTGATTTAATTATCCTGATAACTCAGTGAGGTGGGGAAAGTGAAGCATATAGGGGGCTATATTTCTTGCCCCAAATCACAAAACTAAACAGTGGTTCCAAAGTGCATTGCATTAACTGCAATGTACTATGCTTCTCCCTCTTATAATGTTTTTGTAAGCTGTGTTGGGTGAGCTGGAGGTCAAAGGAATGGGGCATAGGAGAAGCAGTCAATAGTCCTAAAGACTCTACCAAAAAACTTGTAGAAATGATAAATAAATTGAGTATAGGTGCAGGATACAAAATCAGCATTAAAAATTAGTGGAACTTCTATGTATTAGTAACAATCTGAAAAGAAAATTAAGCAAACAATGTGATTTATAGTAGCAACCAAAAAATTAAATACTTAGGTGTAAATTCCACTAAGGAGGGAAAGGATCTGGATACTGAAAACTAAAACTCTATAAAACCTTCAACTTTACTGGAGCAATAAAAAGAACCTGGTGGAAAGTTCAAGAGAGAAAAATAGAGGGTGATTTTGAATATTCTAGAAAGCCAGGTGAGAGATTTTGTTATTTTTTGTATTGTGTTCACAGCTGGCACTCATCTAGTGTTATATGACTACACAAAATAATGCATTATTGTTAAGGTAGAAGTATTAATATATTTTACAGATTCTAAGATATAGATCAAAAAACATGGTTAAGTATATAAAGGATATGCATTGCCTGTTTGATCCAGGAATAGCAATATTTAGATTCCCTCTCATGTGTTTCACAATTAATTTAGTTACAACTTAAATCATGCCATATCTATGCTTAAGTTAGTATCTCTTTTGTACGCAGCTATACATGATGCTCTTGTTAGGAATGCCTAGCATACTAAGGTAAAGTGAGATTGCCAAAGGTAATCCAAACGATAAAAATAGAGCTATACATCCAGGAAAAAGATCTAATTCTAGTTTTTATTTTATCCCTTTAGTAGTTTTTATGTTTTCTCACTATATACCAACAGACCTAAACTAGGTTCTCAGTTAAGTATTTGTATTAGTGCGTTTTCACGCTGCTATGAAAATACTACCTGAGCCTGGGTAATTTACAAACAAAGGAGGTTTCATTGACGCACAGTTCTGCATGGCTGGCAAGGCCTGGAAAACTTACAATCATGACGGAGAAGCAGGCACCTTTTTCACAAGGTGGCAGGAGAGCAAGTGAGAGGGTTTAAGTGCCAGACACAACTCTAACTGGTGCCCTATCACGCTGTCGCCAAACTGGTGTCCTGGATGCAAGACAAAGTCCTCCCCACTTATTTCTCTCCTCAAACAGAAGGAAGGGATCTGCCTTGGATCTGTGAGTTGTGTGGTTACGGAAGACGTGATGTAATCACTCTGTTGGCTGCCCCAGCTGGTGTCTGAATAAGTTTCCCCCCCCACTCCACCCAATCCACTGTCTCTAGGCCTAGTTCAGCACTGGGACTCAACTAAGTGTTGCAGTTTTTATGGCCTACACTCACTTCTAAGTTCATTTATAGACACAGATCACTGCAGTCCTCAGTGGTGAGGTTTGCAGACACTCAAGTTTGGACTGTGGGCATAGAAGATTCTCCTCTGGCTAAGGCTGGTTTAAATGCTACCTCTGTGGGCTGATGTCAGCTGAGTTTGGTCCTGTTTTTCTTTCTGCTTTAACAGGACAGCATTGAGTTCAATGCCTAACCGCTGCTGTATTCTCCCTCCCTCAATGCCCAGAGACACTCTCTGCACCAGGTCACTGCAGCTGGGGTGTGGGGGAGGGGCATTGTTGGCAAATCAGTATTGTTTATTCTCTCTTCAGTACCTCTGTCAGCAATACGAGAATAAAACCAGGTACTATGAGGGCTCACCTAATTTTTGGTTCTTCTGTTTTTTTTTTTTTTTTTCTGTGTAGATAGTTGTTAAATTGGTATCCTTCTGTTGGGGATTATTGCTGGAGCCTTCTGTTCTGCCATCTTGCTTAGCCTGTCCATATTTTCTGTATCCATTTATCTTTATTGAACATCTAGGTTGATTACATTTCCTGACTATTGGAAATAATGCCATAATAAAGATGGTAGAACAGATATCTCTTTGACATACTAATTTTATTTCCTTTGATATACACCAAATAGTATAATTTCTGGATCATATGTTAGTTCCATTTTTTATTTGTTGAGGAACCTCCATACAGTTTCCAATTATGGCTGTACTTATGTACGCCCCCACCAACAGTGTATGTGTTCTCCTTCACATCCTTGCTAGCATTTTTGATGTTTTATCTTCTTCATAATAGCTATTCTAATGGGGATAAGCTGATATTCTATTGTTGTTTTGATTGTAATTTCTCTGATGATTGGTGATATTGAACATTTTTTCACATACCTCTTAGCCACTTGTATGTTTTCTTTTGAGAAATGTCCATTCAGGTATTTTGCACATTTTAAAATCAGATTACTTTTATTTTCGCTATTGATTTGTTTGAGTTCCTAAAATATTGTAGTAATTAACTTCATGTCAGGTGCGTAGTTTTTGATGTGGTTTGGATTCTTGTCCCCATCCCAATCTCATATCAAATTGTAATCCCCAATATTGAAGGAGGGGCCTGGTTGAAGGTGATTGGATCGTGGGATCAGATTTCTCCCTTGCTGTTCTCATGATAGTGAGTGAGTTCTCACGAGATCTGGTTGTTTAAAAGTGTGTAGCATCTCCTGTTTCGCTGTCTTCCTCCTGTTCTGACCATGTAAGACATGCTTGCTTCCCCTTTGCCTTCTGCCATGATTCAAAGTTTCCTGAGGCCTCCCCATTCATGCTTCCTAAACAGCCTGTGGAACCATGAGCCAATTAAACCTCTTTTCTTTATAAATTACCAAATCTCAGATATTTCTTTATAGCAGTGTGAGAATGGGCTGTTAACTATTACAGTTTTCAAATATTTATTGCATTATACAGTTTGTCTCTTTACCCTGTTGATTGTTTTATTATTGGTTTCTTTGCTGTGGAGAAGCATTTTAGTTTGACATAATCCTATTTGTCTATTTTTGCTTTCGTTTTCTGTGCTTTTGAAGTCTTATCCAAAAAACCTTGTGTTTATTCCAATGTCCTAAACTATTTTGTCTATGTGGTCTTCTAGTAGTTTTATCATATTGGGTCTTACATATATGAATTTGATCCATTTTGAGATCATTTTTTATAGGGTGAGAGATACAAGTCTAGTTTCATTTTTCTGCATGCTGATATCCGTTTTACCCAACACCAGTTATTGAAGAAACTATCCTTTCACCAATGTGTGTTCTTGGATCCTTTGTTTAAAATCAGTTGACTCTAAGTCTATGGATTGATTTCTCTACTATTTAATTTGTTTCATTAGGCAAGGTGCTTATTTATATGCCACTACCATGCTGTGTTGTTTACAATAGCTTTGTAATATATTTTGAAGTCAGGTAGTGTGATGCCTCCAGCTTTGCTCTTTTTTGTTCAGTATTTCTTTGGCATTTCAGGGTCTTTACGGTTTAATATAAAATTTAAGTTTTTTTTTTGTTTCTGTGAAGAATGTCATAAGTATTTTGACAGATTCCATTGAATCTATGGATTGCTTTGGTAGTATGAATGTTTTAACAATGTTAATTATTCACATCCATGAACACAGGATGTGTTTCCATTTATTTGTGTCCTTATAATTTATTTCATGAATATTTTATAGCATTAATTGCATAAATCTCCCCCTTTTGATTAAATTTTTTCCTAATTTTATTTTATTTAGTTATTGTATATTGGATTTCTTTTCTTCAGATAGTTTGCTATTGGAATATAGAAATATTATGATTTTTAATGTTGATTTTATATCTCAAAACTTCACTGCATTTTTTTAAATTCTAACAGTGTTTCTATGAAGTTTTTATTTTTTAAAAATGTCATGTTTCTGTAAATAGAAAAAATTTGACTTTCTTTTTTTCCAATTTGGATGCCTTTTATTTACTTCTCTTTCTTAGTCGATCTGCCTAAGACTTACAGTACTAATTTGAATAAAAGTGGTGAAAGTGGGCATTCTTGTGTTATTTCAGATATTAGAGGAATAACTGTTAACATTTTTCCATTTAGTATGTTATCTGTGGATTTGTCATACATAGCTTTTATTGTGTTGAAATACATTCTTGCAATACTACATTTGTTGAGAATTTTTATTATAAAAGAATGTCTATTTTTTCAAACACTTCTGCATTTATTGAAGTGGTCATATACTTTTTGTCTTTCATTCTTTTAATGTGGTGTATTATCTTTATTCATTTCTGTGCATTGTACCATCCTTGCAACCCTGGGATGAATATCACTTCATCATCGTTAATAACCTTTATAATGTAATGTTGAATTTGGTTTGCTAGTGCTTTTTGAGGATTTTTGCATCTATGTTCATCAGGGATATTACCCTACACTCCCGTTTTCTTTTAGTGCTTTGTCCTTGTCTGGTTTTGGTATCAGGGTAATGCTGGCCCCATAGAATGAGTTTGGAAGAATTCCATCCTGTCCAGCTGGCCCCATAGAATGAGATTGGAAGAATTCCATTCTGTCCAATTTTTTTGAAATAGTTTGAAAAGAATGAATAATAATTTTTATTTAAATGTATAGGAAAAATCAGCAGTGATGCCATTAGGTCCTGGGCTTTGCTTTTATGGGAGATATTTTATCACTGATTCACTCTTGTTAAGGTTTTTCTATTTCTTCATGATTCAAATTTGGTAGGTTGTTTCCAAGAACTTATCTATTTCTTCTAGGCTTTCCATTTTGTTGGTATATATTTGTTCAAAATCGTCTCTAATAATTCTTAGTATTTCTGCTGTAACAGTTGTAGTATCAGCTTTTCCATCTCTGGTTTTATTTGGCTCCTTCCTCTTTTTATTTTAGCTAGTCTAGCTAAAAGTTTGTCAATTATGTTTACCTTTTAAAAAATCCAGCTCTTTGTTTTGTTGACTTTTTTACTCTTTATTTTGTTTATTTCTGACTCAATCTTTATAATTTCTTTCATTCTACTAATTTGGGTTTCTCTTTGCTCTTGTATTTTTAGTTAACTGAAGTGTAATATTAGGTTTTTTATTTGAAACCTTTTTTAATGTAAATGTTTATTGGTATAAAGTAGTCTCTTTAAACTTCTTTTGCTATATTCTAAAGGTTTTGGTATGTTTTGTTTCTATTTCCATTTGTCTCAAAAATTTTAATTTCTCTTTTAATTATTTCTGTTGACCACTTGCTTGTTCAAGAGCATGTTTAATTTTCATGTATCTGCAAAATGTTCAAGATTTCTTCTATTTTTGATTTCTAGTTTGATAGAACTGTGGTTAGAAGTTATTTGATATGATTTAAATCTTCTTAGATTTGTTCATATTTGTTTTACAGCCTTACATAATCTACCTGAAAGAATGTTTAATGTGGAGTTGAGAAAAAAGTGTATTCGGTAGCTGTTGCATAGAATGTTCTGTACATGTCTGTTAGGTCCATTTGGTCTCAAGTACAGTTTAAATACATTATTTTTTTTCTTAAATTTTATTAAATTAGGTAAGAAATTACATGGGTAATGTAAAATTGTTCTTCATACCCTGTTTAATGCATCTTTTATTATTATTATACTGAAATGAGGTACTGTAATCTTTCACCTAAGTTCCTGAGTTCTTGTGGTGATTTTTTGTGTGTGGATAGTTGTTCAAATTGATGTCGTTGTTGGAGGATAATCCCTGGAGAGTTCTACTGTACCATCCTGTGCCGCCCTCTCATTAAATAAGCAACTCTTTAAATAACTTAATTAGCAAAAACCACAAATATGTGAGAAAAAGAAATGAAAATTGGGAAATAAATAAACTGATAAAATTGCAACTATAAGAAACTAATATTTTCACCTCTATGGTAATAAATGTGAAAAATTGGATGAAATAGATAATTTTCTAGAAAAATGTACTTTACCAAAAACGACCGTAAAATACATAGAATATCTCAACAGACTAGTTTCCACAGAATAATTTGAGAAAATTATCCAAAAGATCACCCCACCTCACATAAACAGAAACAAAAAAAGACTCAGGTAATGGTTTCTCTGGAAGATTCTATCTAACCTTAAAAAAAAAATTTACTTCAGAGACGGGGGAGGAATAGCATTAGGAGAAATACCTAATGTAAATGACGAGTTGATGGGTGCAGCAAACCAACATGGCACATGTATACCTATGTAACAAACCTGCACATTGTGCACGTGTACCCTAGAACTTAAAGTATAATAAAAATTAAAAAAAAATAATAATAGAGTGTAGACATGCAAGGACATTCCCTATAATAATAAGAAAATCTCTGGAAAAAAATAAATAAATAACTTCAGGGCATGGAAATAAATAGAGCCTAAAGCTATTTATTTTTCATGAAGCTACTTCAGACTCATAGAAAATTTCAAACAACAGCACAAAAAATAAAACTTTAAACCAATCTCATTTAGAAAAATAGATGCAAAACTCAACCTAAAATATTAGTAATTCAACAGCACATTAAAAGAGCAAATCCATATTGAGTAAGATTTGTTTCAGGAATACAAAGAAAGTACAGTAATAGGATACCTGATAATTTAACTCATTATCATAGCAGACCTAAGAACCATTTTTGATTGACTCTATAGATGCTGAAAAGCATATTGCAAAATTCAACAATTTCTCGATTTATAAAAATAGTTCATAAAATAAGAATGCATGGATATTTTCTTAAGCTAGTAAAATTCTCACCCCAAAAGCAGCATTATGCTTAATAAGTAAATAATAGATCCATTCATGTTAAAGTAAAAAAGTAGATGAGAATGTTCACAATTATTCTTATTATTTGATGTTAACTTGGAAATACTAGCTAAAGCAATTAGACCTCTGAAAGAAATTAGATATAAATTGCATAGAGGGATGTGAAACTATCCCTATTTGCAAGTGATAAGATTGTATTTATAGAAAATCCCGGTAGATCAAATGAAAAAAGTAATGAAAAGCAGTGAATCAGTGAGGTGCAAAATAATACACAGAAATTAATAACTTTCATATGAATGCATAACCACCAATATGGTTATTATTGAAATGGAATAGAGAGTGTGATGGAAGAAGTCACAGCTTAACAATAGCAATTAAACAGACTAAATATGTAAGATGTGTTAATACTAGTAGGCAAGTTTTATATAAAGAGAAAACTGTAAAAGCACTCATGAAGGACAAAAAAGAAGATAAGCAGTATATACTATCCTAAATATAAATGACCAAAAACATGTTATTAATCCTCCATAAACTAGCCTATAAATTTAACACAAACCCAATAAAAACACTAACAGTGTTTTGTGGGAAGTTAGAGAATCTGATCGTCATGCCTGTAGAGAAAAATAAAGAAGTATATATAAAACATTCTGAAAGAGTACTAAAAAGGGAATAATTATATGAGGATTTGAAATATATAAAACTGTAATAAATGAGACCCATTATAGAAAGGAGTCTGAAGTTTCCTCAGAAAACTAAAAATAGAATTACCATATAATCCAG
Source organism: Homo sapiens (assembly GCF_000001405.40). Taxonomy (NCBI): domain Eukaryota; kingdom Metazoa; phylum Chordata; class Mammalia; order Primates; family Hominidae; genus Homo; species Homo sapiens. Next base: position 132,174 of record NW_025791819.1, read on the forward strand.
AAATCCCACTTCTGGATATACATTTTGAACATCTCTAATCCAGAAATTCAATATCCATTCAGTATGATACTGGCTGTGGTTTTAAATGTCCATCAAGGATAGACTGGATTAAGAAAATGTGGCACAAATACGCCATGGAATACTATACAGCCATAAAAAAGGATGAGTTCATGTCCTTTGTAGCGACATGGATGAAGCTGGAAACCATCATTCTGAGCAAACTATCGTAAGGACAGAAAACCAAACACCGCATGTTCTCACTCATAGGTGGGAATTGAACAATGAGAACACTTGGACACAGGGAAGGGAACATCACACACTGGGGCCCGTCATGGTGTGGGGGGATAGGGGAGGGATAGCATTAGGAGAAATACCTAATGTAAATTATGAGTTAATGGTTGCAGCAAACCAACACGGCACATGTATATATATGTAACAAACCTGCACATTGTGCACGTGTACCCTAGAACTTAAAGTACAATAATAAAAAAAAGAAATTCAGTTTCTAAAATGCTCCCAAATTGGAGTTCTGAGATGAAGTCACAAGTGAAAAATTTCACATCTGACCTCAAGTGACAGGTTACAGTCAAAACAGGTACACAAGACACAGTTTATTTAGTACCCCCCAGGGAAAAAAGATTTTTCCAGCTTCTCTCAGCTGTAGTATGTCTTTTCTGTGCATGCCCAGATTCCTACAAACATGCCCACAAAATGCAATAAAATTATATGTGTGTAGGCTAGATGCATCAACAAGAGGTTTCCCATGATGCCCCACATGGGGCCAATACCTACAGGCTTTACATATTAGTATTATTTTTGGTTCATTCTCTGTTGTGTGGTTGTAAAGATACAGTGTAAAATATCAAGAAGGCCTGCAGATACTTTTATGAGTAACGGTGATAAGAGGAAAGCATTTATGTTTAATAAATACAATGTATTTATAAATAATGAAATAAATTTATATATAAATTACTAATAAATATAATTTATTTAATAATTAAATAGAAGAGGCACCATTTATGTTTATCTTTGACATAGAAAGTCAAGTTGTTGGAGAAACAAGATAGCAGTGTAAGTGTGAAATGTCTTACAGAAGAGTATGATATTGGAATGAACAGCATATATGACCTGAAGAAAAAGAATGCTAAACTTTTGATGTTTTAGGCTGCACATGATGAGCAGAAGTTAATGAATTTAAAAAAATGCATAAACTTAAAAATCAAATGAAGATCTTTATTGTATTTTGAAAGAGTGGATCCATGAGCACTGCACTGAACACATGCCACTTAAAGGTATACTGACCATAAAACGAAGAAAGATCTATCACAAGGAATGGAAAATTGAAAAGAACTAGAATATTCAGCAAGCTAGTTTCAGAGATTTAGAAAAAGCCACAACATTAAATTGTTGAAATTTGTGGTGAGAAAGCATCTGCTGTCATAAAGCAGCAGGGAAATTCAGTGACAAGTTTACCAAAGTCCTTGCTGATGAAAATCTCATGTCAGAACAAGTCTACAATGATGATAAAATATCATGTTTTGGAATTATTGCCCCAGAAAGTCACAGAGTACAGGCGAAGAGACAGGAATTAAGGATGCAAAGCACAGAATAACTCTGTTAGGATTTGCTAATGCAGCAGGCATGCATAAGTCTAAACTTGCTGTGATAGGCAAAAGCTTGCATTCTCACTGGTTTTAAGGAGTGAATTTAGTACTAGTCCATTATTATGTTAACAAAAGGGCACGTGTCACCAGGGACATGTTTTCTGATTTTTTCTCAAGCAATTTTATACCAGCAGCTGATGCTCACTACAGGGAAGCTGATTGGAAAATGACTGCAAGATTGTGTTGTTTCTTTATAACTGTTTTACTCATCCTCCAGCTAAAATTGTCATCAAAAATACTGTTTGTGCAATGTACTTTTCCCCAAATGTGACTTCTTACTTCAGCCCTGTTACCAGGGTATCCTTGCATCAATGAAGAGTAAATATAAGACACTTTTTGAACAGTATGCTAGCAGCAGTGAACAGAGGCATGGGTGTGGAAGGTTTTCAGAAGGAGTTTGGCGTGAAGGTTGTCCTATATGTTTTTGCTAACACTTGGAACACAGTGACTAAAGATACAGTTGTGCATACCTGGCACAGCCTCTGGCCTGCAACTGTTTTCAGTGATGATGGTAAACAAGGAAGTGACTGAATAATTATGTATGTAAAGTGAGAACAAAATAATGTCTGACCTCCTTACATATGCAAAAAATATACCCTCAGAGTCCATCAGTAATATGGAAGAAGTGACTATCAAAGAAATTTTTAATATCACTAAAGAGGTTCCAGTAGTTCATTAGTTGACTAATGGTGAAATAGCCAAAATGGCTCTTTATCAAAGTGATTTTGATAATAATCAAAATGAAGATGATATTGTTAACACTGCAAAAAGAAGAGCCTATCAGTAACATGGTGAAAATGTGTACTAGTCTTATTGAGGACTAGAATGTGTGCATTCATAATAGAACAAGAAATTATGTCTGTTTATAAAATCAAAGAGAGACTTCTAAGACAAAAACTGTTGTTAATGAGACAAATGAATCTGGAGGAAACATTTTAAAAGCCATCCAGCAGAATGCCTCCTCATCCCTCAAGGACCCATTTCCTGGTCCTTCAACTGCTTCTGGTGTTTCTTCTCATCTAAAAAAAAAATACAATGTACTGTAACCTTTTAATCAAAACACAGCATCGTGGGTAGAAACTAAAATGCTGCTGTAGTTTGTTGTTTAACAGTTAATACAAGAATTATGATGATGCTACTGTGTTATTTTGTTACACTGAGCATATTATTTTTCACTGTATTAACGGCATGTCATAATTTTTACTGTTAAGTATTGATGTGTGAATAAATGTGAGAAAATGATTGCTTATCAGTAGCATATAAATTTAGAGTGAGGAATGACGGTGATGACAAACAACCACAGATTTTCCACGTGGGTGGCTGAGATAGTGACATCATTTCTTTCTGATGATTCAATGTATACAAATGTTTGTTTCATGCATAAAATCATTAAAATATTATATAAAATTACATTCAGCCTATGTATATAAAGAGTATATGAAGCAAACATATTTGTATTTCAATTTGGGTCCCATTCCCTATATATCTCATTATATATATGCAAATATGCTAATAATTGAAAAAAATTAAAACTCCAAACACTTCTGGTCCCAAGCAGTTTAGATAAAGCATACTCAACCTGTGTATATCCAGAGGAATTTAAATCAATATGTACAAAAGACATCCGCACTCTGATGTTCATTGCAGAATTATTTAAAATAGCCAAGATATGGAAACAACCTAAATGTGGGTCAATGGATTAATGGATAAAGAAAACGTGGTATATATATATACATAATATAACACTGTTCAGTCTTAAAAAATAAAATTCTGTTACTTGCAATAACATGCATAAATGTGGAGGGCATTATGCTAAGAGAAATAAGGCAGGCACACGCAAAACAACAAATACTGCATGCTCACATTTACATGTGGAATCTTAAAAAAAGTCAAACTTACAGAAACAGAGTAAAATGGTGGTTACCGGGGCTAGGGGAATGGGGTAGATGGAGAAAGGGAAGATGTTAATCAAAGGGTACAAAATTTCAGTTAGTTAGAAGGATTTAGTGATCTACTGCACAACAATAATTACTGCATGTTTTAAAATTGCCGAAATAGTAGATTTTAAATGTTTTCACCACAGAAAATAAGTATGTAAAATGATGGATTTGTAAATATAGTTTGATTTAATTATTCAAGAATGTAAACATATAGCAAAATATCATATTGTATGCCATAAATATACGATGTATATAATGATTAGTCAATTAAACATTAAATAAAAGATACAATTAAATTTTAAATGGAATGTTTGTTACAGATACATGAATAGTCAAAAGATGAAGAGAATTTGACATCCAGGAATGGACCTCAATGCATATAAGAGTTTAGTATTATACAGATGTCACTTCAAGTCAGTGCAAGAACATAAACTTGTTTTATATACAGTGTTAGAAAAACTTGAGTAACCATTTGGTAAACAACAGAAGTTGGATTTGTACCTTAAATCATATATCAGCATATGTTTCAAATGAAGCAGTAATTTAAATATGAAGATAGCTTTACTAGATAAGCAGAAGTAAATAATAGATAACTTGTATAAATCCATTGAATGAAAGATGCCTTTCTTCCACCTGCCTCCACAAGGACATGTTCCACATTTATTTACATTTTTGGACTAACTTTAATCTCAAAGTCATATCTTCATACACCTATTTCCTATGTGTTGATGCCACCTAGACTTAAATGCAAGGTTTGTTAAACAAAGACTGTAAACAAGTGTTTACCTGTATTTTAATCTATTAATTGATATCAGGAAACTTTATTTTGTTTCTTTTTTTATTTTATTATTATTATACTTTAAGTTTTAGGGTACATGTGCACAATGTGCAGGTTAGTTACATATGTATACATGTGCCATGTTGGTGTGCTGCACCCATTAACTCATCATTTAGCATTAGGTATATCTCCTAATGCTATCCCTCTCCGCTCCCCCCACCCCACAACAGGCCCTAGAGTGTGATGTTCCCCTTCCTGTGTCCATGTGTTCTCATTGTTCAATTCCCACCTATGAGTGAGAACATGCGGTGTTTGGTTTTTTGTCCTTGCGATAGTTTACTGAGAATGATGATTTCCAGTTTCATCCATGTCCCTACAAAGGACATGAACTCATCATTTCTTATGGCTGCATAGAATTTCAGTTAGACTGCAAGAATAAGTTTTAGAGACCTATTGCACTACATGGTGACTACAGCTAATGATAATATATAGTATATTTCAAAGTTGCTAAATGAATAGATTTTTAAAACATTCTTATCACCAAAATATAAGTTGGTGGGATGATGGATATGTTAATTCGCTTGATTTCATCTTATACATAGAGGGAAACATCATATTGGTCCCCGGAAATATACACAATGATCATTTGTCAGTTAAAAGAGTAAAAAATATAATAGAAATGATTAATAAATTTGATTTTATGAAATACAAGTAAAACTTGTAAGGCTAAGATCAAAATACAAAGCAACAACAACAAATGAAAGCACTGTGAATAAAGTACAAAAAAATGACACAGAACAAAAATGTTACTTTTATCATCAGGAAAAAATGAATCTTCTTATATATAAAGAGTACCTGCAACTGGAGAAGGTAACTATCCTCACTTGTAATAAAAGAAATATTACTTAAAACTACTTGAAATTTCTCTTTTGAAACTATCAGATTGGCTATAATTGAAAGTCTTGGTAATAAACTTACTGGCGAAGCCTTATATAAACAATCACTTTCATTTGTTACTGGTAGGAATACAAATTGGAATGAAATTTGACACTGTCTATCAAAATTTCAAATACATAGATTTTTTTGTCCCTAGAATTCCACTTCATGAATTAAACCCATTAATGGTCCTGTGTATGCGTAAAATGAAATGTTACATAATGTTATTTATTGCAAAAGTATTTGTTGAAACAATGATAAAAATATCTCAGTGTGAATTGATCACAAGATGAATAAGTCATGCTACATTTATATATTGGAGTACAATCCTGTTTTAAGAAAGAACAAAGACATTCTTTAGAGAGACAGTTTAATGCAATGTTTTAGGCCGCTGATATCAGAACAAGTCTTCCTGGCTTCCTCTCACAACTCTATTGCTTATTAACTGTGTAATCCTGGGTAAGTTCCTAAGGCTCATTTTCATCATATATAAAATGCAGATAATACTAGAACTTACTGTTTAGGATTTTCATCAACCTTAGATATATCAGCTCATTTCATATATAGTAAACGCTATATAAGCATTAGCTATTTCTTCCATTGTTGATTTGCAAAAGTCTCCAAAAATGGTTTCAAGTAAAAATGTAAGTAAAGAACAAAGTTACAGTGTGTTGCCCATTGTTTAAAAGAAAGAATGTAAGGAGATACATTTGTATTTTCTTGCTTATACATAATTAAACTCAAATATACATATATATATAAAACAAAGAAATTAGAATATAATTTCTAAAAAATTGAATAAATCACTGATTTCTACATAAGAAACAGTAATTACATTTGGTAATGTGATGGGAATTGGGCAAATGAGGCACAAGGGTGGAAGAGGTATTATTAATGGATAGTTTAATTTTCGACCATGCGATTGAAGCCCTGTTACACGGTGAATTGTGTCCTCATATACAGCCCCCGACCCCACAAAAAAAAGATATGTTGACATGTTAATTCTTCAGAATGTGATGTTATTTGGAACTAAGGTTCCTGCAGACATAGTTCATTAAAATGAGGTCATACTGGAGTAGGGTGGTATCATAATCCCATATGACTGCTGTTCTTATACAAAGAGGAGAAGAGACACAGACACAAGGGGAGAATACCATGACCACAGAGGCAGAGATTAGAGTTTTGCTGTCAGAAGCCAGAAGGCAAGGAATGCCCGGGACTACCAGAAACTAGAGGAAGCAAAAAAAAAAAAAAAAAAAAAAAAAAAAAAAATCACTCCTACTTACAGCCCTCAGTGGAAGTGTGGCCCTGCCAATAACCTGATTTTGAATTTCTAGCTCACAGAGCTCAGAACTGTGAGAAAATAAATTTCAGTTGTTTTTAGCCACCCAATTTGTGGCAATTATCTACAGTAGTTTTAGAAAATGGATACAAATCCCTAACTGACAATTAAATATACATATATAGTATATATTATCTTGAAAGTTGTAAAACGACAGTTTAAATAAGTAATGAACATAGTACTTCTCACTTCCTGTTGGATCTATCACTTCAGATGAGAATTTTATATACAATTGAACTGAACTCTGTTAGACCAATAAAAGTATTTGTTTTTGAAACTTAGAGAATTAACAAAATCCAGTAAATCCACTCTCTTACAGATTGTACCTCACTTACTTATTTTCTATATGTATAATTTTATATCAATTTATTATTAAAAGCAAAAGACTTGCTCGTGGAGACTGTTGTTAAAACCTGACTTGATTTAAGGAGGGAAGAAGCCACAGAAACAAATGAGTCACCAGGAAATAGCTAATCATCTTTGTGTGACTCACTGTAAGAATCCTTTAATACCGGCTAAAAACATGCATTTAATTTCATATTTATAGGACTAATGGTGAATAGAATAAAAACAGTATAGCCTGTTTTAAACTATCACTTTTTGAAAATTACTTTAGATATTTGTTTAAACTATTAAAATAAATCCTAAAACAAATGTTCTCTCATATTTGAAACCTGCATTACATAAAACCCCATAAATAAATTTTTCTGTGCTTGGTGGTCAGCTTTCTTCATGAAGCATTGCTGAATCCCCAAATTCTAGATCATACTGCAGCTGAGATATTGGCATAGAAACACAGTCCTCATTTTGATGTAATACTGGCTATTAGTTCAAGCTGTATGATTGAAAGAATGTTGTGGTATAGGAGAAAAAGCATAAGGCAAGACAACAAGAGGCCTGGGTCCTAGACCAAGCTCTACCTCTTATTACCTTTGTAAATCTCAGCAACATTGTTCTCATCTACAAAGGAGAGGTAACAGTAACAAGATACTTAGAGTTGTATGTTTTCTTCCAGTATAGAAGGTTATTTGGGAGATCAATGTAATAGTGAATATGAAAGTGCTTTGCAATTTGTATAACTGCATAAATGCAAAATTATCTTTCCATTTCATAAAGAGACAATTTTTCTCTTATAACTTTATTTATTTTTCAGTTTAGTAAAAGAAAGAGGTAACATCAATGGTAGCCAACCATGCAGTATCATGTGGTCAAAGTAAGCCCCCTTAATATATTTTTAGATGAATTTATAACGTTGTATTTATCTATTTTCTTTTGAAACTCTGCAAGCTTCTATTTTGCATAACTATATTTCATTAATAAAATATAACTGTTGATAATAGCCAGAGAACTTGGAAAACCTCAGCAGCATTTAATATAGCAATATTAAAGTGGAAATAAAATAAATATATATCACATATAAGAAAACTGGCACTCAAAATTGTTAGTACAGCATTTAAACATAAGTCTAAATTTAATATCTTCTAATCTCATTTCCTATTTTCTCCAAATATTTTGACTTGCATTACTCTATTTTACTTTCTATGCACTCACCATGCATAGTTATTTCTATTAGTTTATGGGTGAAAAAATTGAGATTTTGAGAGGATATCTAGGGTATCCCTGCTGGCAAATGACAGAACTGAACTAATACTCATTTTTTCTAGTCGCTAAACCATTGCACTTAGCATCAAGATTGATTTATTCAAGAACTGTGTGGCCAGGCACAGTGGCTCATGCCTGTAATCTCACCACTTGGGAAGGCCGAGGCGGGTGGGTCACCTGAGGTCAGGAGTTCAAGACCAGCCTGGTCAACATGGTGAAACCCCGTTTCTATTAAAATACAAAAATTAGCTGGGTGTGGTGCTGTGCACCTGTAGTCCCAGCTATTTGGGAGGCCGAGGCAGGAGACTTGCTTGAACCTGGCAGGCAAAGGTTGCAGTGAGCCGAGATTGTGTCACTGCACTCCAGCCTGGGTGACAGAGGGAGACTCCATCTCCAAAACAAAAAAAGAAATGTGTATTGGGATATACTGGGGTATACTGTATGCCCGCTTTTCTGCCTTTAGGTAAAATTTTTCTTTCACTCAATTGAATTTTTGTTATTGTTGTTGATTTTAACGTGGTGTTTCATTAGTATAGCAACATAAATGGCAATAGTTGAACATATCTGGTTGTATTCCTACTAGCATGCTTTTGCCTGCTTTCTCTCTTGCTATGTTTTTAAACATCACAAATTTCTAAAGGCAGCTAAATGTACTAAATGAGCAGATATTTAAGTCAGAGGCATAACTTTAAGGAGTTAGCTATCTGGAAGGCTCTGAGAATGAAAGGCCCAAACTTGAGGAAATTGTTTGGGAAGAACACTTCCTTCTGTGCGTATCTGTATGGTTCCCACTGTTCCACACAGGTAAACTACTGCTACATCAGAATATGAGGCTATTCATTCAATCTGGATTTAAAATGCAAGGATTGTCTTGGCTCTTTGGGCTCTATTTTGGTTCCATATGAATTTAAAAACAGGTTCTTCTAATTCTGTGTAGAATGTTAATGGTAGTTTAATGGGAACCACATTCAATCTATAAATTACTTTGGGCAGTTAGGGCATTTTCATGATATGGATTCTTCTTATTCATGAGCTTGGAATATTTTTCTATTTGTTTGTGTCCTCTCTGATTTCTTGGACAGTGATTTCTAGTTCTCCTTGAAGAGGTCCTTCTCTTCCCTTGTTAGCTATATTCCTGGATATTTTATTCTGTTTGTAGCAATTGTGAATGGGAGTTCATTCGTGATTTCGCTCTCTGTTTGCCTGTTTTTGGTGTACAGGAATTCTAGCTTTTTTGGAACACTGATTTTGTATCCTGAGACTTTCCTGAAGTTGCTTATCAGCTTAAGAAGCTTTGGAGCTGAGACAATGGGGTTTTCTAGATATAGGATTATGTCATCTGCAAACAAAGATAATTTGACTTCCTCTCTTCCTATTTGAATACACTTTCTTTCCTTCTCTTGCCTGATTGCCCGGGCCAGAACTTCCAATACTGTATTAAATAGGAGTGATGAGAGAGGGCATTCTTGTCTTGTGCCGGTTTTCAAGGGGAATGCTTCCAGCTTTTGCCCATTCACAATAATATTGGCTGTGGGTCTGTCATAGATGGGTCTTATTATTTTAAAGTATGTTTCTTCAATACCTAGCTTATTGAGAACTTTCAGCAGAAAAAGATGTTGAATTTTATCAAAGGCCTTTTCTGCATCAATTGAGATAATAATGTGTTTTTTTCTTTAGTTCTGTTTACGTGATGAGTTGCATTTATTGATTTGTGTATGTTGAACCAGCTTTGTATCCCAGGGGTGAAGACGACTTCATCATGATGGATAAGCTTTTTGACATGCTGCTGGATTTGGTTTGCAAGTATTTTACTAAAGATTTTTGCATCAGTGTTCATCAAGAATATGGGTCTGAAGTTTTCTTTTTTTCTTTTTTGTATCTCTGCCAGGTTGTGGTATTAGGATAATGCTGACCTCATAAAATGAGTTAGAGAAGAGTCCCTCCTTTTCAATTGTTTGAGATAGTTTCAGTAAAAATGCTACCAGCTCTTCTTTGCACCTCTGGTAGAAACTAGCATCAGAGTGAACAGAGAACCTACAGAATGAAAGAAAATTTTTGCAATCTATTCATCTGACAAAGGTCTAATATCCAGAGTCAACAAGGAATGTAAACAAATTTACAAGAAAAAACCAAATAACCACATTGAAAAGTGGGCAAAGGACATAAACAGACACTTCTCAAAAGAAGACATTCATGTAGCCAACAAATGTATGAAAAAAGCTCAACATCACTAATCGTTAGAAAAATGCAAATCAAAACCACAATGAGATATCATCTCATGCCTTTCAGAATGGCACTTATTCTGTCAAGAAACAACAGATGCTGGAGAGGCTGCAGAGAAATATGAATGCTTTTACACTGTTGATGGGAATGTAAATTAGTTCAACCATTGTGAAAAATGGTGTGGCGATTCCTCAAAGATCTAGAACCAGAAATACCATTTGATCTAGCAATCACATTACTGGTATATACCCAAAGAAATATAAATGATTCTATTATAAATATACATTCATGTGTATGTTTATTGCAGCACTGTTTACAATAGCAAAGACATGGAAACAACCCAAATTCCTATCAATGACAGACCGAATAAAGAAAATGTGGTACATATACACCATGGAATACTATGCAACCATAAAAGGGAATGAGATAATGTCCTTTGCAGGGACATGGACGCCATGATCTTCAGCAAATTAATGCAGGAACAGCAAATCAAACACTGTATGTTCTCACTTATAAGTGGGAGTTGAACACATAGTCACAAGGAGGGGAAGAACACACACTGGAGCCTGTTGGGGAGGGGGTGGTGGAAGGGAGAGCATCAGGAAAAATAGTTAATGAATGCTGCACTTAATATCTAGGTGATGGTTGATAGGTGCAGCAAATCACCATGGCACACATTTACCTATGTAACAAACCTGCACATGTATCCCAGAACTTTATATATCTATATCTATATCTATATCTGTATCCATATCTATCTATCTATCTATCTATCTATCTATCTATCTATCTATCTATCATCTATCTCTCTATCTATATATATATGTCAAAAAACAGCAGGTGTTGGCAAGGTTGCAGAGGGAAAGAAATGCTTTTACACTGTTGGTGGGCATGTAAATTAGTTCAACCATTGAAGACAGTGTGGAGATTCCTCAAATGCCTAGAACCAGAAATACCATTTGACCCAGCAATCCCATTACTGGGTGTATATTCAAATGAGTATAAATCATTCTATTACAAAGATATATACAGGTATGTTCATTGCAGCACTGCTTACAATAGCAAAGACATGGAATCAATCCATATGCCCACCAATGACAGACCGAATAAAGAAAATTTTGCAGCCATAAAAAGGAACGAGATCATGTCTTTTGCAGGGACATTAATGATGCTAGAAGCAGTTATCCTCAGCAGACTAACACAGGATCAGAAAACCAAGCACTACATGTTCTTACTTATAAGTGGGAGCTGAATGATGAGAACTCATTGATACATGGAGGGGAACAACACACACTGGGGCCTGTCAGGGTGGGCGAGGTGAGAGAGAGCATCAGGAAGAATAGCTAATGGATGCTGGGCTTAATACCTAGGTGATGGGTTGATCTGTGCATCAAACCACCATGACATGTTTACCTATGTAATAAACCTACACATTCTGCACATGTGCCCCGGAACTTAAAATAAAAGTTGAAGAAAAAAATAAAAATAAAAATGCAAGGATCTATGCAAGTCAAAGGGGATGAGGTTGGGGATGGACTGTTTTATAAATTCTGAATGTCATGACATTTTTATTTGCATAAAGAGAAATAGTGTGTACTGGCCAGAACACTTAATTGAAAGCAACTGGTTTCACTCTGTGAGATGGGGCAGGCCACATCCCCTTTCCAATCTGCACATATCACATCCGCAAGACAGGAATATTGGGCATCTCTAGACAATTTCTAGGACAGTTTTGGGGTACATGTGCCCTTGTACAATATGATCTTCCTGATTTGACTTCCTTCCTCCGTTTTTTAAAATTCCTCAGTGTGGCAAGTTCTTACATATCATTTAAGAAACAGCTCAAATGCAACCACCCCATAACATTTTCCAGACACCCCAAGGAACAGTGCATTTCTATGAGCTTCTATGTTCCAGCGTACCTGCCTCTAGTATTACATAATTATATAATCACAATTCTTGTTTGTGAAGGCTGCCTCTCCCCTCAAATTGATAGTTTTCTCATGGCAGGAGTCTGTCCATATTTGGCTCTTTATGCCAATTGCATTTTAAATTACCTGGTCTGGAGTAGGCACTAGATAAATGTCTGAAATATCCGTTGAAATGGTAGTATTAGGTCCATCTTCCATGGAGCACTGTCCCCAGCAGTATGGTCAATATATGCTAAGAGATCTGCCGTGTGCTGAATAGAGAGGCCTACAAGACAGGAGGTAATGTAGTTTCTCTTCTAATATCCATTCAGAAGGAACGAACAGGGAAAGATATGGGAGGTATTACTTTAATGTTAAAAGTAAGTGTCCATGGTAACTGTAAGGTAGACTGCTTCTTCTTCAAAAAAGTTAGTGCCTGAATGCAATTAAGATAATCCTTCAGGCTTTTAAAAATGAAGAGTTCATGTACATAGGTCCCACTGGATGCACCAGATATTGTGTGTACAATTGTCTGTGCTTTATGTAACAAGATGCAACCTCAAAGCATGTTAGCTAAAGTTGGTTACTAAATTTTCTAAATGTATTCTTTGAGCTTTCTCCTTATTAAATTTAGAAATGTTTTAACAGGTGAATCAAATCCACTATGATTTTAAATTGAATAATCTTATATAACTTCTACTATTTGGCCCTATAGAAATATTAACAGTGCACACTATTTCAAATATCCCTCCAGAGTACCTAAAAGCCATACTATATGAAATGTCAACTCAGACGTAAGTTTCTCCTTACATATCAAGAAATGTTTTATTTCAATAAATGAAGAATATAGACTTTATATAATTCATTGAAAAGATGCTTACTTCCTGACTTTAAGAATTTTTAAAATTTTAGGTTTGGAGGTAGATGTGAAAGTTTGTTACACAAACACATGTCACGGGGGTTTGTTGTACATATTATTACATCATCCAGGTTTTCAGCTAAGTACCCGATAGTTATGTTTTCTGCCCTTCTCTGTCCTCCCACTTTCCCCACTCAAGTCGACCCCAGTATCTGTTGTTTTCTTTTTTGTGTGCATAATTTCTTATCATGTAGCTCCCACTTAGGAGTGAGAACATGTGGTATTTGATTTTGTGTTCCTGTGTTAGTTTGCTAAGGATGATAGCCTCCAGCTCCATCCATGTTCCTGCAAAATACATGATCTTGTTACTTTTTATGGCTGCATAGTATTCCATGGTATATATGTGTCACATTTTCTTTATCTGGTTTGTTATTGATGGACATTTAAGTTGATTTCATGTCTTTGCTATTGTGAACAGTGCTACAGTGAACCTTCATATGCATATGTCTTTTCAATAGAATGCTTTATATTCCGCTGGGTATATACCCAGTAATGGGGTTTTGGGGTTGAATGGTAGTTCTGCTTTTAACTCTTTGAGGATCGCCATACTGCTTTCCACAATGGTAGAACTAATTTAAACTCCCACCTGAAGTGTATAAAGTTTCACTTTTCGCCACAACCTCACCAGCATCTGTTATTTTTTGACTTTTTAATAATTAGCCTTTCTAACTGGTGTGAGATGGTATCTGATTATGGTTTTGATTTGCATTTGTCTAATGATCAGCGATATTGAGCTTTTCTTCATATGCTTGTTGGCCGCATATGTTTTCTTTTGAGAAATGTCTGTTCATGTACTTTGCCCACTTTTTAATGGGGTTGTTTGTCTCTTGTAAATTTGTTTTAGTTCCTTATAGATGCTGGATATTTGACCTTTGTCATATGCATAGTTTGAAAATATTTTCTCCCATTCTGTAGGTTGTCTGTTTACTATGTGGATAATTTTTTTGTTTATTTTGCTGTGAAGAAGCTCTTAAGTTTAATTAGATCCCATTGGTCAATTTTTGCTTTTATTGCCTTTGCTTTTGGTGTCCTTGTCATGAAATCTTTGCCCATTCCTATGTCCAGATAGTATTGCCTAGGTTGTCTTCCAGGGTTTTTAGTCTTTTGGGTTTTACATTTAAGTCTTTAATCTGTCTTGAGTTAATTTTTGTATATGATATAAGGAAGGGGTCCCGCTTCAATCTTCAGCATATGGCTAGTCAATTATCCCAGTACCATTTATTAAACAGGGACTCTTTTCCCCATTGATTGTTTTTGTCAGCTTTGTCAAAGATCAGATGGTTATAGATGTATGACCTTTTTTCTGGGCCCTCTATTCAGTTCCCTTGGTCTATATGACTGTTTTTGTACCAGTACCATGCTGTTTTGGTTACTGTGGCACTGTAGGATAGCTTAAAGTCAGGTAACATGATTCCTCCAGCTTTACTCTTTTTGCTTAAGATTGCCTTGGCTATTCAGGCTCCTTTTCATCTCCATATAAATTTTAAAATAGTTTTTTCCAGTTCTGTCAAGAGTGTCATTGGTAGTTTGATAGGTATAGCATTGAATCTGTAAATTGCTTTGGGCAGTTCAGCCATTTTAATAATATTGATTCTTCCTATCCATGAGCATTGAATGTTTTTCTATTTGTTTGTGTCTTTTGCAGAGTAGGCTCAGAGACTCCAGTGCAGCCACATGGTGGAAGAAGATTTATGCATAGAAAAATCAAAGTGACATTAAAAAAACAGAAATGAGGTACAGAAACAGTTGGATTAGTTACAGCTTGGCATTTGCCCTATTTGAACACAGTTTTACACAAAATTACAACTATAAAGGAAATCTCTGTTTTTAAAGATGTCTGCCGATGTACACTAGCAACCCTTACCATTCTTTTAAATTTATATGTGTCATACTTTGTTTAACATGTTTTTCTGGCCATCTTGTCTTGAGTACATTTTTACTTGAGCAGCTTTTTCTCCCTTGGTTTGAGCAAGTAGAATACTTAAGCCTAAAATCTAAGTCCTATGATTATAAAATATAATTTTGTTTTGTTCCAACTAAGAGTTGTCTCTTTAGAAATGCAAATTTGTTGCCTTGTTAACAATTGCTTAGGGTAATGAAACAGGTAATTAGAAGACTGATAGACCAAATGAAAAAAAAAAGAAAAACTATTTAAAAGCCAGCAAATTGAAATCCTTTATGAGAACTATAAGATCTGCCACTGTGTGTTTGTATATCTATATGTGTTTGTGATATTTGGTAAATAAAGCTAGTTTTTAAATTGTTGGTAAAACAGAAATGACTTACAAATTATCAGGTAAATATCGTTAGATGCTTGCTTGATTTGACCGTGAGCATATGTCTTTGGTTTAGAGTCTCTGGATTCACGGGTCTGGATAGGTGGCCATGATGACGTCTGGAGATTTGTTCTAAGTGCCGAGACCAGAAGCTACAAGCCAAAATTAAGCCCAACATGGTCCCTTCTACCTCTGCTTTTCCTGTTTTGCCTCCTGGCTATTTTCGGAGGAGTTGGATCTTTCAGGTACAGTCTTCACAGCTCTGTCTTCTGTTCATAGTTCTGCTGGGTGTCATGTGACTACTTGGGACCTAGAATGACTGGGGGAAGGCATTAGTGAGGCAACCTGTGTCATAGTTTCAAAATTCTTTTCAGTAATTTAAAATTTTCGAGTCATGTTATGTTAAATTAAATAATAGATAATCATAAAATGTCTGAGTTATCTGTAAGTTAAGATACTGAAATATTAAATATGAGTTTAAGTCTATATACCTTGACATGTTATTTTTATATAATATAGATAAGCTAAATATATTTAGACCTGTTAATAAACATTTTGAAGAACTATCTTTCTAAAAATTATAAAATGGTTTTTAGCTACAAGTTGTGATAAAAAACAGTTCAAAATTACTTTCTATAATTAGAAAGTAATTAGTATTTCTAAGAAACCCTTGAAATTGGGGTTACTAAGAGTTAAAAAATACTACATATGAGAGAAACATCTCTGTATACAGAGTGTATAAACAAAAGCAAGATATGCATTTGATGAGGAAAATTATGAAGACATAAAAGTGTGTGTTAAAAATGTTGTCTGGTTTGCTTTGGGAGGCCGAGGTGGGTGGATCACCTGAGGTCAGGAGTTTGAGACCAGCCTGGCCAACATGGTGAAACCCCGTGTCTACTAAAAATACAAAAAATTAGCTGGGCGTGGTGGCGGGTGCCTGTAATTCCAGTTACTCCGGAGGCTGAGGCAGGAGAATCCTTTGAACCCAGGAGGCAGAGGTTGCAGTTAGCCAAGGTCGCGCCATTGTGCTCCAGCCTGGGCAATGAGAGCAAAACTCTGTCTCAAAAAAAGTAAAACAAAATAAAAAATAAATTTTATCTGGTTTGAAGTCACTTAAAGGTGTCAAATAGAAGGAGTAAAAAAATAGCTACACCAAGATGAATACAGAAAATTGGGGAAAAAGTAAAGCAAAATATTTATGGAAACTTTTTGTGCTTAAAAGATGACAGATTTGATAAATTTATTTCTAAGGTTTTATTAAAATTAACTTTAGTATTGATAATACACTGATAAAAACTAAAATTTTGTTTACTCTTTTGAACAAAAATTGTGTGTAGTTTAATAAGACAGTAAAATATTTTTGTTCACCTTTTAAGTAAACTGTAAAAAGGAAAAAAGAGACAAAAGAAAAGACAGATTGTTTCATGCTGTCTTAGGTCTTTTGATTGTTTTGAAAACTGAGTCTTTTTTATCAAAGAGTAGAAGGTTATTGTTTTCAAAAATCTTATATTTATCACCTTGGTTAAATGAATGACTGTTGTTTTATGGTGACCTGTGATCCTATTTTGGTCAAGTGTTTTAAACCTTTGACATATCTGACAGGTTTCCCAAAATCTAATTTCAGCTTCAAAATTAAGTATTTTTGACTTCCAACTTTGGGATGCTATGGAGCACCCCTGAAGCATCCAAAAGAGACATTAACAAAATTATTTTACGTGTTAAGTTACATAAGAAGCATTGTCAAATAAGAAATGATGATTAACCTTCTTCAAGATAAATGTTATTAACATATGTTACAAAATTGTATGGGATTTCTAAAGTTCTAATTTGTCTGAGTACATGTTATTGATCATAATTATGTTTATTATGTTAAGTTATTGTAGGCCATAGAAATAATCAAATTTCCTTGTCAATTTTGTCCTTAACTATGACTGTTGAAAGTTATTTTCACAGTTAATTGCTTAAATCTGATGCAGTTTATGAAAACTTCACAAGCACAAAAAATCCTAGAATATAGTATCTTTAAGGAGGTTCATGAAAGAATGTAAAGGATTCTGAGACGCATTCTTGAATAAAGGTTTGTAATAACTTTAGAATCATATAATTTGAACTGGATAAGAATTCTTGGAACTTTAGTAAAGTGACTGACTGGTTTATAAAACTGCTAATGCAAGCAAGACAAAAATTGAATACCAAGAAAATACTTTGCCAGATTTTCATGCTAAATCATCCAGTACTGAAGTTCTTTAGATACACAATTTGAATTAATTCCGTGGTATAAATCAAATTTCCTATGATAACCTATTAGTTATCAGTGCTATTCACCTAAATTGGAGAAACAACTGGTATTCAAAAAGACATAAGTCCAGTGTTAAGCATAAACTCTTGGAGAACCACGACAGCTGCCTTGTTTTTACTCACTCCTTAAAGATTTCCTTATTAAGAGTTCTGCATTCTAATGCTCGTCTTGGAAACCACAAAATGATCCAAATTAAATATATATATGTGTGTGTGTGTGTGTGTGTGTGTGTGTGTGTGTGTGTGTGTGTTGTGACTTCTACATTGCTGAAATAGTTTATGACCAACTTTGGTTTTTCAAACCCATATTCCTAGGAAGACAATCAAAACTTCAGGTACATTTCACTACCCGATGGGCCGTTTAAATGTTTATAGAGGGGTTTCATCTAACTGTCAATTTTTAATGCATGTTTTCTGGTTGTATAAAAGCTTTCCTATGCAAGAGAGCTGATGTTAGAATAGTAGATCATTATGTCACAGTTTATTTTCACCAGATAAAGAAAACTTTTCATGGTTCACTGACTAAGGACAATCAACCCCTTCACAATCTAGAACCCAATGATTGGATTTCTGGAAACATCAGAGAAAGACTGTCCTGCCATCTACTCTGTAGCAAAACTTTGGGACCTCAAACCTTGGGTTTATAATCTCACAACTCAGAAGAGTCCTTCCACACTCTTGGAACTGTACACCCATTGGAATCCTTAAGGTGAAGCTAACCAGTGAGGTTTCTCCCCAGAAGAAGATGGCATCCTTGATGGGGACAGCTTTTTCTCAAGATTAGAGATTGAGACTTCTCTACTATCATGAGACTCTTATCTTTCATTTTTTTCCCTTGCTTATGCCTCTTTGAACAATAGAAAAAGAAAAACAGGTTTTCTGTGTGCACTCACAGGGTTTACTTTTATTTGTGAAGGATTTTCGAGCCAGCCTTATACATGAATAACTTTATGCCTTGACAGATGAAAGTTGAAGGTCCAATGTATGTGAGCAAGTTTAATGTTACATACATTGCCTCATAATCAGTCAGAAACAGAATGTTGCTCCACTCTTCTTAACCTACATTATGCATCAAAGAAAACATTGCCAGAAGGTCTTCACTCTTCTAGAAGGGCTTCATTTTTTAGATTATTTTATCCATTGTTTGGAGTAAATGAGGCAATGATTAGAAATTTACCCCTCGTGATAGGTTCTAGAGAAGATGCTACCTTAAAGAAAACATTCTCTTATGAATGTGATGCTAAATAATAGAATTGCTCTAGATTACTTACTGGCTAAACAGGGAAGTATCTGTGCAGCTCCTGGCACATCTTATTGCCCATGGAGAAATGCATCACATTGGGTATTATAGAGATTCAGTTGTAAGGGATTAACAAAGAGACTCCTTAGTTAAAGTGAGTAGACTCCTTATCTAACTTATTCTTTGATCTATCTGATTTTAGTTGGTTTAGTTTATGGGGACCCTGGCTAAGGAGCATACTCCAAACTCTTGGTATTATCCTCATGATAGTCATAATATTCATCTCCCTGGTGCAGTGTATTCTCTCAAAAGCTTGAAATGTTTGCATGAAGTCATTTTTAGAACCATAAAGTTGAAGAGAGTGGAAAGAGATTCCACTCTCTTCAAGTGGAATGACAAGAGCTGAAAGAAATGTGTGACTATGAGGGCACTGTAATGTATGAATAATGTGTTAAGATCAGAAACCCAAAATGATAGTAACTGAGAGTGGGCCTAAGGCTCTAAGTTTTGGTCATGCTCTCACCTAAGTGAGAATGTGACCAAAAGGGGGAGTTTTTAAACATATTATGAGAGGACATTGTTATGGACTGAGCTCATGCACTAGGCCCCACAGATCAGACCAAACCAAAATGGAGTCACTTATACTAAATGTGACATAATCAAATTCAGACTTTAAGGAAACACATAAATCCTAAAACAGACTAGGTTTTGTTTTTCTTCTATAAACAGGACATTCCATCATAAAGAGGTATCCTCTACTCTAATACTTACAAAAGAAATAACCTCATGTCCTTGTCCTCACCTTATAAAACCCACTGTATGCTATTTCCCAGTGGGTTTCAAGACCAAATAAGTACTTTTATGATGGTGATAGTAACATCAATGGTTAAAGTTTTGGTCAATCTCTCAAAATTGAGAGGATGAACAAAAGGAGGGAATTTTAAAATGAAGTTTAGTCTAAAGCTGCCTGCTAACATATATTAAGGTCGGCCTAATAATTTCTCTGTACGTCATCAACTACAAGCTAAATGAAGTTGTAAACAAAGGGCGGCCTACTCTCATGGCAATTACTGTATTGTGGCCAATCAAAGGTGGCCAGCTGTTCAAACAATGTTCAAATAAGGCAAACCCCTAGCCATAACCAATCAACTCTTTCTGTACCTTACTTCCATCTTTGGTACCTCACTTTGCTTTGTCTATGCATAAATTTTCTTCCACTATATAGCTGTGTTGGAATCACTGAGCCTGTTGTGGCTCCAGAGGCTGACCAATTTGCAAATCATTCCTTGCTCAATTAAACTCTGTTAGACGTAATTCAGCTAATTTTTTTTCTTCTAACAGAAATGAGCTTTATCATTGTCTGCCTATAGCAGTTACTAAATTTATTTGTCTTCTATCTCCAAATCCTCCTCTAATCGAGATTAAACACCGGTGCATTTGACCCCATTGTGAATGGCAAAAAGAAATTAGCATAAGGAATGCACACTTAAAAGAAAATTTTATAACTGATTAATTACTAAAGAAGAGTCTCATAACTAAAAGAAGCTAATCAGAGGCTTAGATTGGAGTAGTCAAAGATACCACTTATACTTGCTGTATGTTCCACTGTTTGATCACTTTTTTTTTCACTCAGTTTTCTTTGTACCTCCTTTAATGGCACCACATTATAGGGAAAATCTTCCTTGCTCACTTTTTGAACATAAAATAGAATTGTTCTAAATTTAGATTTCCCTCAGATCTCTGATCTGTCTAGATTTGCAGTCTATATAAAATAAGACCCATCCCCAGCTTTTTACACCAGAGGTAAATTATAAAGAAATAAAAAATGACCTAGCATCTCTGGTGCATTGATATTTTTCATCTTTCATCATTATTCTGCTTCGAATAGCTTATGTTTGAAGAACATTAAACATCTTCAATATCCTCTGATTTTATAATATTTCTTACATTCCTGAGAGGAGGACTTATCAGAAACATGACAAAATCACATGCAATTTTTTGTTATTTTTCTGTT
Source organism: Homo sapiens (assembly GCF_000001405.40). Lineage (NCBI taxonomy): Eukaryota > Metazoa > Chordata > Mammalia > Primates > Hominidae > Homo > Homo sapiens. The sequence continues at coordinate 153,319 of NW_025791819.1, forward strand.
TAGTAACCTTCCTTTACATTTGCAAAATAGTTTATAATTCAGAAAGCACTATCCTGTACTACCTTTTTTTTTTTTTTTACTTTCACAGCAATTCTGTAAATTATTAAGGGCAAGTATTGTCATCTTTCATCATTTAAAAGAAACTAACCTCAGAAAACTTTGAATATTCTGCTTTAGGTGAAAATGCTAATACACAGTAGAGCACAGAGTAGAAACAAATTCTATATGAAAGTTCAAACTGAACACATATACTGATGCATAAAATACACCCAGAGTACAATCCCAGTCAATGAAACTAATAAATATTATTCAATTTCTAGGTCAGAGCAACATCAAAATCCCCTAAAACTCAATTTATTGTTGATCCTGAGCAGTCTTTTCCTCTTTGTTTTTTTCGCCTCAAGTAAAATGCGCCCTTTTCTGGATTTCAGAGAACTCTTTAATTGAAGTAGGATAAAGCGTATTCTTCATTATACACTCAGAAAGCCCGGCAACATTCAAACTCCTATCAGCAGACAATCTCTAAGACTGCAGGAAACCCTGCTACACTGTAGTTTGCTAAAATAAAGTGTTTTACTATCGAGTATTATTTTATTAATGCCATGGTCCTCTTTTGGTCAAGGCTATGGATTAGGATCTTGGGCAGATAACAAATTCCTACATACTACTGTGAGATTTTATTTGACTTATCCAAATCTCATGAATAATGATCTACCAATATGCTATGAGCTCACAAAGAAAGAAGGGCTTGAAAATGTATGTTCTTAGAAGAAGCTGGAACTAGAAATGTAAAAAATGCTAGACAACATTATCATGAAAGCTATGAGTAAGATGGAGCCAAAGTGAATGACTGGATTTAAAGATTTCTATGTTCTGTGTATTTTCAGTACTAATAAGCTTTAGACTTTTCTAATGTAAGTATGAATTATAAAAACTAAGGATAAAACAAAACCTTATCACCACCACAACCACAACAGAAAAGATAAGGGTAACCTCTGCACATTCAGAAATAGACTGACTAACCTCAAAATCAGTACTGAGGAAAATGCAGAAGTAAAAAAAAGTCTCATAAACTCAGTAGAAGGCTAGAGAGGAAAAAAAAACCATAATAATTAAAAATAAAATAAAATTTAGAAACAAGTTAGGATTCATCAATAATCACATTAAATGCAAAAGTTTAAACCATCTACTGCATGACAGTGACTATCAGATGAGAGGAAAGTTTATTTATATTCTTCTTAAAAGAGATACATTTAAAGCAAATTCATACAGAATGGTTAAAAAGGTTGGAAGAAAATACATTCTAAGCAAAGTATAACCAAAGAAAGGAAGTGTGGCATTATTAATTTCAAAAAGAACAGAAAATCAAAATGCATTCAGAACAGAAAATCAAAAGGCATTATTAGGGATACAGAGGGACACTGCCAAAAAGATGACAGTCATAAACTAGTATGTACCTAATAATATAGCTTTGAATTATATAAGCCAATATTAGGATTATTAGTATTTCTGGTTTCAGCTCCAAAATGTAAAGCACTTGGACATTCTCACTTTCACTTTTACAACAGTGAAAAAGTTAAGCAAACTGAAAACCAATGCCTTTCTTAGAGCCGTCATAAAATTGAGGCCACAGGATAAACCACCAAACTGAAATCTGGAGACATAGATAAATACAGAGGATCACAGTTGAGATCAATTTATTTGAAGCAGAAGCAACTCGAGCAATAAACTGGTAGGAATAATTAAATGGTGATACTGATGAATTGCTGGAGGCTTAGTGTAGACTAGCACCAGAGGGATAATCTCCTGCAGGCCCAGTCTTATGGAAGTCATACAGTTTCATGGGCATTCACTTGAAGAAACTCATCATGTTGTCATTGTGAAGATAAAAATAAAATTCCTCATGCTTTGGTCAGAGTAAGGGAAAAAGTAACCACTTGGAAATACACCTAGTGTTCTCTATAAGAAAGAGCTACTTTACAGAAGAAAAAACTTCACTAGATCTTTATCCAACATGGAAGGAGAGCAACCAGCCAACTCCACCCATCTCTAGACATTCTGTCTCATGCAAGGGAAGAAATAAAAGGCTATGAATTACTTCAGAAGTAATTCATAAAGGCCATCGCCTTGGTGTTCAGGACCAATAAAGGAGTGAAATTTAATCATAATAGTGAAGAGAGCTTGTACTCTCCCACACCTTAGTATAGCTGAAACTGCTGCTAAGCTAGACTTTATTGGTGAAGCATTTATTAGGAGAAACCAAAAAGTAGCAGAGAAAACAAAACAATGTTTTTAGGGGTATTTAAATGCTCTGACACCTGTGGTTACAGCAAACATCAAACATTGCTCAAATCCTATTCAAGTTAATATAAAACCTCACACTAGATCCCTGTACGCCTCAGTTCTCTATTAGCTGATATATTATATCTGGCTTTCAACAGTGGCAACAACAATGACAAGAAATGGTAAAAGGCAAGGAAAAATACAGTTCCAAAAGACATAGCAAGCATCAGAACCAGACACACGCATTGGAATTTTAGACAGGGGATGTCAAATAACTATGACTCGTATACTGATGGCTCTAATGAACAAAAGAGATAATATGCAAAAACAAATGAGTAATATCAGCAGAGAAGTAGAAAATCAAAAAATGAAAGGAATTAAAGGCAATTCTAAGAATCAGAAGCACTGTACCAGAAATGAAAAATTATTTTGATGACCTGGACATGGCCAAGGAAAGGATTAGTGAGTTTGAAGATGTGTCAATTAATACTTACCAAACTGCAACAAGAGAAAAAAAGAATCAAATCAGTAAACTATCTAAGATGTGTAGGGTAATTTGAAAACATGTAACGTGTGTAAATTGGAATACCATAAGGAGAAGAAAAAAAAAAGAAGAAATATTTGAAGTAATAATGGCCAAGGACTTTTCAAAATTAATGACAAACACCACACCACAGATTCAGGAAGTTTATAGAATCCCAAACAGAATAAGTATCAAATAAAATATAACCAGGCATATCATACTCAAGCTGCAGAAAACCAAATACAAGGACAAAATCTTGATAAAAGCCAGTGGTGGGTGTGGGGGTAAAGAAATTACCTTATCTATAGAGGAAAAGGCCTAAGAATAGCAGGCCGGGCACGGTGGCTCATGCCTGTAATCCCAGCACTTTCGGAGGCCCAGGCGGGCGGATCACCTGAGGTCAGGAGTTTGAGACCAGCCTGACTAACATGGTGAAACCCCGTCTCTACTAAAAATACAAAAAAAAAAAAAAAAAAATTAGCCGGGTGTAGTGGTGGGCGTCTATAATCCCAGCTACTTGGGAGGCTGAGGCAGGAGAATCGGTTGAACCTGGGAGGTGGAGGTTGCAGTGAGCCGAGATCACGCCATTGCACTCCAACCTGGGCAACAGAGCAAGACTCTGTCTCGAAAAAAAAAAAAGAAAAGGTTTTAAAAATAAAAATAAAATAAAATAAAAAAGAATAACAGCAGACTCCTTGTCAGAACCCACATAAGCAAGAAGAGAGTGGAGTGAAATATTTAAAGCATTAGAAGATAAAAAAAACTATTAACCTAACATGGAATTTTATATATGCACTGAAATTATCCTTCAATAGTGAATAATAAATAAATGTTTTCTTGGAGCACCTAATGCACAGAAAAAATCTGAGAGATTATTCTTCAGAAGACTTGCCATGAACTAAATGTTAAAAAAAAAAAAAGTATTCAGCATGCAGAAAGATGATACAGGTCTTTTAAGAACATAAAGAAAAAATGTGTCAGAGAAGAAATAAATGAAATTAAATATTATTATTTATTTTAAATGTAATATAACTATTCAAATATTAATGGTAACAACATACTGTCTGATAATAACCTCTTAATCAGTAAAATGAGTTTTATAAGGCATAGTGGAGTGGAATTGAGATTTCTCTGTTGTAAGCTACCTGCACTACAGGTAAATCCATGTAATGTTATTCAAAGGTGAAAAGACGGAAGTGTGGAAATTTCTACATTATGAGGCACATGCACTACATGTGAATCTATTTAATATTATTTAAAAGTCTGCTTAGATTAATTGTAAATGTATACTGCAAACTCTAAGGCAACTACTACTAATATGTTAAAAAAGAAGCATAGGTGATATTGTAATGTCAACTCACCATTGATGTGAATTGAGTAATATGATTGGTCTAAATATACATATTAAAAGAACAATGAATAGGAAAAAGTTAAAGCATAGTAAATATTATTTCAACTTATATCAGTAATTATTTTAAATGTGAATGGAATGGTCTAAATACACATGTTAAAGATGGTGATTGTGATGGTGGCTTTTTAAACAATTGCTCAACTACAGGCTTTTTATAAGAAATCTGCTTTAGATATAAAGACAAAGATGAATTAAAATTAACGAGGTAAAAAATATATATACCATGTTGACACTAATTGAAAGAAAACTGGAATAATTGTTAAATTTAGACAAAACAGATTTCAAAGCAAATAAAATGGCAGGGATAAAGACCAACATTGCATAATGATAAGGCATCCGTTCTCCTAAAAGATGTAACAGTTCTTAGCATGTATATGTCTATCAAAAGAGTATCAAATTACAAAAGGCAGAGAGGGGTGGGGGAAGATGGTGGAGTAGGAATCTCCAGCGATTATCTCCCCTTCCGCCATAGAAACATTAATTTGAACAACTATCCATGCATGAAGAAGTTTTCACAAGAGCTAAGAAAACCAGATGAGACGTTACGGTACCTGGTTTTAGCATAATAATTAGAATAGACAAATTGAAGAGGGCAGAAAGGACCATTTAAGTTTTGCATCACCTGTTCCCCAACCTCAGGCAGTTCAGTTTGTAGAGAAATACCATCTACTTGAGGAAAAGGAGGGAAGCAAGCATAGGACTTTGCATTAGAATCCAGTACTGGGCCCACTACAGTAAAGCCCAGCACTGGGCTAGACCCCTCTGCTCCTGGCACCAGGCCAATATACATGAACAAAACCTCTAGACCTGCCCCAACATGAGACAAAATCCTGTGGTCCCAGGGCCAGATGGGAACCTGTGGCCCTGGTAAGGCAAACTTGAGATCTGACCCACATGACCACCAGCTGACTGCAACAGCCTCAGACCCTGAATAAACCTCGGTGGTGGGCAGACTATAGCAGCTGTGGGTCTTGGGCACACTCCAGTGCTGTGCTGGTCTTGGCAGCCACGGTTTCTGGTGTGACTCAGCACTGTGTCAGCCTCAGCAGCCAAATATTATGGACCCAGCAATTCTAGGCTTTCGGGCACCTCAGGGAACTGCAACTGCTGAAATCGTAATGGATTTAAGGATATCACCAGTCAACCTACATTGAATCACTGGACAAACCTGCTGCGGAAGAAAGTTACCAAACAAAGCCAGGCTGCAAACACTGGATTAGGTAAGAATATCGACATGCAGACATTGACACATGGCCACAAGCATCAAGATCAATAAAAAAAACATGATGACAGCAAATGGACAAAATAAAGCTCCAGTGATGCTCAATGGATTAAAGACTTAAACATAAGACATGAAACTATGAAACAACTAGAAGAAAACAGGAAAAAGCAATTTTTTTTTTGGATATGACCTCTAGAACACAGACAACAAAGGCAAAAATAAACAAGTGAGACTAGATCAAACTAAAAAGCTCTGCACAGCAAAGGAAACAATCAATGGAGTGAAGAGACAACCTAAAGAATGGGAGAAAATATTTGCAAACTTTGCATCTGACAAGTGGTTAATATCCAATATATATAAGAAACTCAGATAACTCAGCAAAAAGAAAACAAGTAACCTGATTAAAAAATAAGCAAAGTGTTTGGATAGCAATTTCTCCATAAAAGGAATACAAATGGCCAACAGGTATATGAAAAAAAGAATCAAAATCACTAATCATCAAAGAAACACAAATAAAAACCACAGAGAGATACCATCTTATACCAGTTGAAATGGCTATTATCAAAAAGATGGATAACATAAAGATGTAAAATAAAGTGAGACGTTGTACACGGTTGGTGGAAATGTAAGTTGGTACAACCATTATGGAAAGCATTATGGAGATTAGTCAAAAAATTAAAAATAGAGCTGTCATATATCCAGCAATTCCACTTCTGTGTGTGTGTGTGTGTGTGTGTGTGTATATATATATATATATATATATATATATATATATATATATATATCTCCAAAAGAAATGACATTAGTATATTGAACATATATCTTCATTTCTATATTTATTCCAGCATTATTCACTATATCCAAGATATGGAATCAACTTAGCTTTCCCTCAACAGATGGGGTATATTGAAAAATATATGGTATATTGATATGGTTTGGCTGTGTCCCCAACCAAATCCCATCTTGAATTGTAACTCCCACAATTCTCATGTATCATGAGAGGAAGCCAGTGGGAGATGATTGAATTATGGGTGCAGGTCTTTCCTCCTCTGTTCTAATGGTAGTAGGTTTCATGAGATCTGATGGTTATTATAAGGGGGAGTTTTCCTGCACAAGCTCTCTATTTTTTTTCCTGCTGCCATCCATGTAAGATGTGACTTGCTTCTCCTTGCCTTCTGCAATGATTATGAGGCTTCCCCAGCCACGTGGAACTCTAAGTCCACTATAAACCTCTTTCTTTTGTAAGTTGCCCCATCCTGGGTATGTCTTTATCAGAAGCCTGGAAACAGACCAATACAGTAAATTGGTACCAGGAGAGTGGTGCGCTGCTGAAAAGATACCTGAAAATATGGAAGTGACTGTGGAACTGGGTAACAGGCAGAGGTTGGAACAGTTTGGAGGGCTCAGAAGAAGACAAGAAAATGTGGAAAAGTTTGGAACTTCCTAGAGACTTGTTAAATGGCTTTGACCAAAAGCCTGACAGTGATATGGACAATAAAGTCCAGAGCAAAGTGGTCTCAGATGGAAATGAGGAACTTGTTGGGAACTGCAGTAAAGGTGACTCTTGTTATGTTTTAGCAAAGAGAGTGGTGGCTTTTTGCCCCTGCCCTAGAGATTTGTGGAACTTTGAACTTGAAAGAGATGATTTAGGGTATCTGGCAGAAGAAATTTCTAAGCAGCAAAGCATTCAAGAGCTAACTTGGGTGATGTTAAAGGCATTCAGTTTTATAAGGGAAGCAGAGCATAAAAGTTCTGAAAATTTGCAGCCTGGCAATGTGATAGAAAAGAAAAACCAATTTTCTGAGGAGAAATTTAAGCAGGCTGCAGAAATTTGCATAAGTAACAGGGAGCCTAATGTTAATCCCAAGGACAATGGGGAAAATGTCTCCAGGGCAAGTCAGAGGTCTTCATGGCAGCCCCTCCCATCACAGGCCTGGAGGCCTAGGAGAAAATGGTTTATGGGCGAGGCCCAGGGTCCCCATGCTGTGTGCAGTCTAGGGACTTGGTGCCCTGCATCACAGAAACTCCAGTCATGACTAAAAGGGACCAAGGTACAGCTCAGGCTGTTTCTTCAGAGGGTGGAAGCCCCAAGCCTTGGCAGCTTTCATGTGGTGTTGATCCTGCAGGTTCACAGAAGTCAATAATTGAGGTTTGGGAATCTCCACTTAGATTTCAGAAGATGCATGGAAAGGTCTGGATGCCCAGGCAACAGTTTGCTGCAGGGGCAAGGCTTGGGCCCTCATGGAGAAACTCTGCTAGGGCAGTGTAGATAAGAAATGTGGGGTCGGAGCCCCCATGCAGACTTCCTACTGGGGCACCACCTAGTGGACCTGTGAGAAGAAGGCCACCGTCCTCCAGACCCCAGAATGGTAGATCCACTGACAGCTTGCACTGTGGGCCTGGAAAAGCTGCAGACACTCAATGCCAGCCTGTGAAAGCAGCCAGGAGGGAGGCCATACCCTGCAAAGCCACAGGGGCGGAGCTTCCAAAGACCATGGAAACCCACCTCTTGCATCAGTGTGATCTGGATGTGAGAATTGGAATCAAAGGAGATCATTTTGGAGCTTTAAGATTTGGCTGCCCCTCGGGATTTCAGACTTGCATGGGACCTGTAGCCCCTTTGTTTTGGACGATGTCTCCCATTTGGAATGGCTGTACTTATCCAATGCCTGTACTCCCATTGTATCTAGGAAGTAACTAGCTTGCTTTTGATTTTATAGGCTCATAGGCAGAAGGGACTTGCCTTGTTTCAGATGAGACGTTGGACTGTGAACTTTTGAGTTAATGCTGAAATGAGTTAAGACTCTGAAATACTGTTGGGAAGGCACGATCAGTTTTGAAATGTGAGGACATGAGATTTGGGAAAGGATAGGGGCAGAATGATATGGTGGCTGTGTCCCCAACCAAATCGCATCTTGAGTTGTAACTCCCACATTTCCTATGTGTCGTGGGAGGAACCCGGTGGGAGGTGATTGAATTATGGGGGCAGATCTTTCCTGTTCTTTTCTTATAATAGTAAGTCTCACAAGATCTGATGGTTATTGTAAGGGGGAGTTTTCCTGCACAAGCTCTCTCAAGCTCTTTCTTTTTGCCTACTGCTATCAATGTAAGAAGTGACATGCTCCTCTTTGCCTCTCGCCATGATTATGAGGCTTCCACAGCCTTGTGGAACTGTAAGTCCATTATAAACCTCTTTCTTTTGTAAATTGCCCAATCACGGTTATGTCTTTATCAGCAGCATGAAAACAGACTAATACATATATACACATACAATAGAATATTATGCAGCCTTAAGAAAGGAAATGCTGTCATTTGCAACAATGTGGATGAAACTGGAGGATATTATGCAAATATAATAAGCCAGACACAGAAAGACAAATACTGAATGATCTGACTTATGTGTGGGATCTAAAAAAGTTAAACTTATAGAAGCAGAGAGTAGAATGATGTTTGCTGGGGGTTGAGGGAGTGAAGAAATAGAGGGCTTTTGGTCAAAGGGTACAAAGGTTCAGTTATGCAGGATGAATAAGTTCTGGAGATTTAATGTACAGTATGGTGACTATAGTTAATAATACTGTGTTGTATACTAGATATTTGCCAGGAGAATAAATCTTAAATTTTCAGACCATACATAGACACAAAGATGGTAAGATGGTAACTATGTGAGGTGATGGGTATGTTAATTAGCTTGATTGTGGTAATCATTTTCCAATGTGTATATATATCAAATCATCAGTTTGTACATTGTAAACAGGTACAATTTTCATTCATCTATTATCCCTAAATAAAGCTGAAAAATAAAAATAGAAATGAGTAAATAAATTTTTTTTTTTTTGAGACAGAGTCTCGCTCTGTCGCCCAGGCTGAGTGCAGTGGCGCCATCTCAGCTCACTGCAAGCTCCGCCTCCTGGGTTCACGCCATTCTCCTGTCTCAGCCTCCTGAGTAGCTGGGACCACAGGCGCCCGCCACCACGCCCAGCTAATTTTTTGTATTTTTAGTAGAGACGGGGTTTCACCGTGTTAGCCAGGATGGTCTCGATCTCCTGACCTCGTGATCCACCCGCCTCGGCCTCCCAAAGTGCTGGGATTACAGGCGTGAGCCACCACGCCCGGCAAGTAAATAAAATTTTACAAGAAATAATTTGGGAGAATTTCTGGGTTCATGCTCGGTCAACAAAAATGGATATTTTTTCTATAGATTAACAAGACTCTTAGAAATTATGATACAAAAAATGTCTTATTATAATATCATATACACACATTATTTAGGAGTAAATCTAATAAAGTACACTCATGATTTTGACAAAGGAAATCACAAAACACTGAGTGACAGTAAGGGCAACCTTAGATACGTAGAGAGACGTATCAGTTTGATGGATGAGAAAACAACATGAAAAAGGTATTATTTCACTTTACAATAAATTTAATGCAATTTGAATCAAAGCCTCATTATGAAGCTATATATGTAGAATTATAAAGGTCTAAAATATTCTTCAAAAATATAAAAGTATTTATAAAGTACTTTCATTTTAAACTCTTGTAATTAAAGTAACGTAGGTGAAGAAAGAGGCAAATTAATCAATATTTTAGATGATAGAACTCAGAAATTCATCAAGGTATATACAACAATTGAATATATAATAGAATTAACTTTCTACATCAGTGGGGAAAGAATAAACTTTCAGTATATTATGTTGGGATAAATTGTTTTCCAATTGAAAAAATTACAATATTAGATCTTTACCAAATATCATATGCAAAAATTGATCCCAGACAAATAAGAAAATCTTCAAAATTATTAAGAAATAGTATTCAGTAATTTTTTCTAACTATGATAAAATTTCTTAGATAAGGAACAGAAAACCCACAAATAAATGAAAGAAGTTACTGAAGTTACTGAAAAACAAATTTAAATGACAACAATATACTTAAACATATTTAGCAAACAAAATGTTAATATCAAGTATATTGAAACAATCTTTCTGATGCCTAAGTCAAAAATATATAAATATTAAAAATGGGTAAATTACATAAAATTGAACTCAGCAAAAAGGACAACTGAATGTACAAGTTACCTTTTTTCACTGTACATATAGGACAATTTAAATTGTAAGCTTAATATTACCAAGAAATGGTGAGCATGTGTTGAAACAGGAAGGTTCATATACTCCTTGTGGAAATATAAAATTGATATCGTAACTTGAGAGAGCTATTTGGAAAAAAAATGTTAGTTTGTAAATGTGTATACCCCAAGGCCTGGAAATTTTATTCATCAAACATGATTGTGAAGAAAGGAATTAACAGGTTAAAATAATAAAATAGCCTCTAAAAGATACACAGAAACGATTGTAGAAATCCAAATTAAACATAATATGAAGCCCAGAAAGCAGAGAAAATATTGAGATGACAAATTAAATTAATGAAATTAACAATAAAAAAGTGTTGAAGAAAATATTCCTGTGGTCAAAAAGAGCCAAATATGATTAATGCAAGTGTGTCTCATGAATTGGGCAAATAATACAAAACAAAATTTAGACTTATTTTGGGAAAATTCTTGCATTTGTAAGACTGATTTTTTATTCCTACAAACAGTTCAGTTGAGAAAAACAGATTGACAGCAAATGATCAAATTCAGTTCTTTTTTTTCCTTTTATTTTCATTTCTATAATTTTTGAACACTAGAGGAACCAGATCTACAGAAGGCTGAGAGAGAAATTTTTGTGAATGGGAAATTACATACAGTGCCAAATGGCACTTACGAAAACAACAACAGCAAAACTTTCTTTTTTTTTTTTTTTTTTTGTTTGTTTGTTTGACAGAGCCTTGCTCTGTTGCCTAGGCTGGAGTGCTGTGGCACAATCTCGGCTCACGGCAACCTCCACCTCTCGGGTTCAAGAAATTCTCTGCCTCAGCCTCCTGAGTAGCTGGGATTACAGGCGCCCGCAAGCAAGCCCAGCTAATTTTTGTATTTTTAGTAGAGACGGGGTTTCACCACCTTGGCCAGGCTGGTCTTGAACTCCTGACCTTGTGATACACCTGCCTCAGCCTCCCAAAGTGCTGGCATTACAGGCGTGAGCCACTGCATCTGGCCAATGTTGAGCATTTTTATATGCTGTTGGCTGCTTGTACACCTTGTTTTAAGAAGTGTCTGTTCATATTCTCTGCCATTTTAAGTGGATATTTTTGTTCTTTCCTTGTTGATTTAAGTTCCCTGTAGATTCTTGATATTAGACCTTTATCAGATGCATAATTTGTGATTATATCCTCCTATTCCGTAGCCTGTCTGTTTACTGTCAGTAACTTCTTTTGTTGTGCAAAAGCTCTTTAGTTGAATTAGGTGCCACTTATTACTTTTCGTTTTTGTTGTAATTGCTCTTGGGGACTTAGCCACAAATTCTTTGCCAAAACTTGTTAAGAAGGTGTTTCTTAGGTTTTGTTTTAGCATTTTTATAATTTGAGCTCTTACATTTAAGTCTTTAATCCATTTTGAGTTAATTTTCATATATGGTAAGAGGTAGGGGTCCAATTCATTATTCTGCATATGACTAGCCAGTTATCCCAGCACTATTTATTGAATAGGCACTCTTATTGTCAATGCTTATTTCAGTAGATTTTGTGGAAAATCGGATGGTTGTAGTTGTGTAGGTTTACTTCTGTGTTTTCTATTCTGTTCCACCGGTTTATGCATCTGTTTTTGTACTTGTACCATGCTTTTTTGATTACTGTAACCTTATAGTATGGTTTGAGGTTGGATAGTGTGATGCCTCCAGCTTCATTCAGCAAACTGAATCCAGCAGCACATCAAAACATTAATTCACCATGACCAAGTAAGATTTATTTCTGGGATGGAAAGTTAGTTCACCACATGCAAATCAGTAAATATGATTCACCACATAAACAGAATAAAAAACAAATCTCATACACTCATCTCAGTAGATGCAAAAACAACCTTCAATAAAATCCAACATTCCTTCATGATAAAAATCCTCAACAGATTAGGCATTGGAGGAAGTACATCAAAATAACAAGAGATGTTTGTGACAAAGCCACTGGCAACATCATACTAAATGGGCAAAAGCTGAAAGCCTTGCACTTGAGAACTAGAACAAGACAAATGTGTCCACTCTTACCACTTTCATTCAACATGGTAATGGAAATTCTATCCACACACAGCAATCAGGAAAGAGAAAGAAAAAAGAGCCATTCAAATAGGAAAAGAAGTTAAACTATCTCGTTGCTGACAATAAAATTCCATACATAGAAAACCCTAAAGACCACACCAAAGGGCTTCTAGGGCTGATTAATAGATTAGGTAAAGGTTCAGGATACAAAATCCATGTAAAAAATTCAGTAGCATTTTTATACACGAGTAACATTCTAGCTGAGAGTCAAATCAAGAACATGATCCCATTTACTATAGCCCCAAAGAAAATGAAATACCCAGGAATTCATCTAACCAAGGAGTGAAAGATCTCTACAAAAAAAAAAAAAAAACTACAAAACACTGCTGAAAGAAATCAGGGATGACACAAATAAATAAGAAAAATTCCATGGTGGATGTAGTTAAAATGGCCCTACTGCCCAAAGCAATATACAGATTCAATGCTATCTCAATCAAAATGCCAACATTATTTTTCACAGAATTAGAAAAATCTACTATAAAATTAATTTGGAGCCAAAAAAAGAGCTTTAATTAATAAAGCCATCCTAAGCAAACAGCTTTGAAAAAAAAAGGAAGGAGAGTGAATGGACCTTTGATGAACAGAATGACAGACTATGGCAGAAACAATGTTCCTCACCTTGCAACACTAAAAACCCACATTTCCCAGCACTCTTTCCCCTTGCGTCTCAATGAAACCTTGTGAGTATATGTTATGGTGAAGGAAATGTTCTAGAAATGAGGTATTGTGTTCAGAAATTGAGGTTTTTTTAGTTGTTTCCAAAAAAAAAAAAAAAAACAGCCTGTCTAGACTAATACAAAGAGAAACACATAAAACATACATTTCAAAAAAAATTTAGCAAAATCTAGGCAGAAACATCATGGAAAACATAGCAAAATGAAAACAGATATTTTAATGCTATTACAAAGTTGAGGACAAGCCTAAAAGCATTGAAAGGGAATAAAATGTTTACCTTATATTTGAAAGTCAGACAAAACAACTCAGGTATCACGATAATAATTATTTATGTACTGAATAATATTTCATCAAAATGTAAAATATAAATTTATATGCATAGTAGAAAATGACAAAATGCAATCATACATGGAGTGCATTACACAGCTTGCTATATGTTTGCTAAATGAAATTGGTAAACACAAATGATATAGATTTAGTGACTGAACAATTCTACGTTCCACTGAATAAAATTAAATTCTATTTAATTAATGGAATGTTTTATGTGTAAATCTGTTTTTCCATTTATCCATCTAATTGCAAAATTCCTTTCTGGCATACAGATATCAATTTTGTGAGTTTCTGTGAATTGCGCTATATAGAAATTTCAATAAATTCTAAAATTCAGGTTTAAGAAAGGCCACACATTGGGACCATAATGTGCTTATATTTAAAAATAATGATGTGAATTAAAATGAAATACCCAAATAGATAAAAGAGAAAATGTTTTACAAAATTATTTTTTAGGTCAAAGAAGAAATTATAACTGTAGTTATAGATAATTCTAAAAAGAAATCCAAGGAGAAAATTAGGTGTCAGATCTTCATCATGGGGTTGAAGTGGTGTTTGCTAAAATGTAACTGGCCAAGCCATAAATAGTCACAGTGTTCAGTAAAATATAATTAGCTTCATTTGACTTCACTACAAAGTAAAACAAAAAAAGGAGCTATAATATGTAAACATTAAAGGTAATAATTATAAAATAGCAATGAGAAAAATATTAAAGTATGAATTTTAAAAGATAAAACATAAAATTGATAAAAAATATAAAATCATAGAATTAATTTTTAATACTATGTAACTGTTTGTTAAAATTTCAATTAGAATAACAATTTCTAGGAAACCTGATAAGTGGACAAAAGAGATAAAGCACATACATACAAACTTATAAATGTTAATATAACCACAAATAATGTAAAATTATGATAACTAGCTATATCAAACTTTATACTAATAAAGTTAAAAGTCTTGAAATTGATGATGTTTCTAGGAAAAAGGTAATTCATGCAAATGTTTTCAAGAAATAGAAAAATTAAATTATTATTAATTGATTTAAATTAAAATAAGAGAAAAAGGGCCACATTTAAAAATGGTACCCACTCCAGAGGTTTTATAGGAGGTGATTTATTTGAACGTATTATGGAGTAACTAATTATCACCCATTTATGGTGTTATAGGACTCAAAAAGCTATGAGCTCTTTTTGAACTTAACTCATTTTGTAAACATAATATCTCCTTGAAGCAAAATGCAAAATATTATTCATTGTTTTAATCTTATTTCTACACACAGAAATACTTGCACTGAATAAAATACTACTAATTCTAACACAGAGCTATAATTAAAGAGCAATCCATTGTGAACTAGTAGGGTGTTTTTTTATTCTTGAAACTTCTACTTATGTAGTTCATCACATCAAGAGAAAAGGAAGCAAAACCATATGATCATCTTGGTAGAGTCCAGTGAGGCATATGTAAAAAGAATTTGTGTCTATCCCTCATATAATATAGTTAATGAAAAACATAAATATTCTTAGATTCATATGATGAATCATATCTATCTAAAATTTACTTATGAAGCAAATACAACTTAAAGATAGAATATAAAATGTTCTTATTAAATTCTAGAGAAACAAGAATATAGTTCCTATCATCTCTAAAATTTAACTTTGTAAGTTATATTTATTATAGAGAAAAATAAAAATTCTCAAAAAAGACAAAAATGTACTCAAATAATATGATGTTCAATCTGGAAAATTTAAGAAAATTGCCTTTCTTTTTGAGACGGAGTCTCGCTCTGTGGCCCAGGCTGGAGTGCAGTGGTGCGATCTCGGCTCACTGCAAGCTCCGCCTCCCGGGTTCACGCCATTCTCCTGCCTCAGCCTCCCGAGTAGCTGGGATTACAGGCGTGAGCCACCACGCCCGGCTATTTTTTTGTATTTTTAGTAGAGACGGGGTTTCACCATGTTAGCCAGGATGGTCTCGATCTCCTGACCTCGTGATCCACCCGCCTCGGCTTCCCAAAGTGTTGGGATTACAGGCTTGAGCCACTGCGCCTGGCCGAAAAATAACTTGACCTTAGTTTCAAACTACAAGATGGTTCATTAACATGGTGAGATTAAAAATTGTTTTAAAATCCCATGCACATATATTTCGTATATAGCTGTTTAATACATGATTAAATGATATTACATTTTAAGTAGAAATAAAAGTATAAAGTACTGGATGAGACCAGAGGCCGAACTCAGGTTCTGATGGCCGAGCTGCCCCACAGGATCATCAAGGAAACCCAGCGTTTGCTGGCAGAGCCAGTTCCTGGCATCAAAGCAGAACCAGATGAAAGCAACGCCCGTTATTTTCATGTGGTCATTGCTGGGGAATCAAAGGATTCCCCCTTTGAGGGAGGGACTTTTAAACGTGAACTATTACTTGCAGAAGAATACCCAATGGCAGCCCCTAAAGTACGTTTCATGACCAAAATTTATCATCCAAATGTAGACAAGTTGGAAAGAATAAGTTTAGATATTTTGAAAGATAAGTGGTCCCCAGCCCTGCAGATCCGCACAGTTCTGCTATCGATCCAGGCCTTGTTAAATGCTCCCAATCCAGATGATCCATTAGCAAATGATGTAGTGGAGCAGTGGAAGACCAACGAAGCCCAAGCCATTGAAACAGCTAGAGCATGGACTAGGCTATATGCCATGAATAGTATTTAAATTGATCCAATCATTAAGTGTGCATCACTTCTCCTGTTCTGCCAAGACTTCTTCCTTTTTGCTTGCATTTAATGGACATAGTCTTAGAAACATTACAGAATAAAAAAACCCAGACATCTTCAGTTATTTGGTGATTAAATGTACATTAGCAAATCTATGTCTTGTCCTGATTCACTGTCATAAAGCATGAGCAGAGGCTAGACGTATCATCCGGATTGTTGTGAAACGTTTAAAAGCAGTGGTCCCTCCCTGCTTTTATTCATTTCCCCCATCCTGGTTTAAGTATAAAGCACTGTGAATGAAGGTAGTTGTCAGGTTAGCTGCAAGGGTGTGGGTGTTTTTCTTTATTTTATTTTTTTGAGGGGGGTAAGTAGTTTTATTTTAATTTTATGGGCTCCTTTCCCCGCCTTTTTGGTGATCTAATTGGATTGGTTAAAAGCAGCTAACCAGTTCTTTAGAAATATGCTCTCTATCCAAGTCTAACTTTATTTAGACACTGTAGATGGACAAGCTTGATTGTTTGAACCAAAATGGGAACATTTAACAAGCATCACTGCCCTCACTAATAACATTGTGACTTTGCTGTCAAGTGTAGAGTCCCCCCTTCAAAATAAGCTTGTGACCATTTTGTATGGCTTGTCTGGAAACTTCTGTAAATCTTATGTTTTACTAAAATATTTTTTGTTATTGTAAAAAAAGTTTAAAGTACTAGGTAATTATAAGAAATGTGAAGCACATATAGGAATAAAAATGATTTAATGATAAATGAATTGGGTAAATGGAGAAAATTGTTTGAGGTTGAAAAGCCTGAATGTAATAAAAATATCTGTTAGAAAAAGCTAAAAGCAATGACAGGCAGGGAAAAAATTATATGCAACAAATATAGAAGGTAAAATATACTTACTATATAAAGAGCTCTTATTAATAAGAAAGAGTTCTTGTCAGTAATACAAATTCTCCAAGAATACATGTGTTATATTGCTTTACAACATCCTTATATTATTATTGTCATTGTACAGATAAGAAACTGAGCCACTTTAGAGCTCATGAACATACCTTAGATTTCTCAGAAAGTTAGTGGTAGTCTAGGTATCCAAATCCTCATCTGCCTGAGTTAAGAGCTCCTCTCTATTGTACTATAAGTCAACATTTGTTAATTTATTAATATTATAACTGAGCCTGATTCTTCCTGTACTTCTGCACTCGCTGTAAATTAACCATTTTACAGGATAATGCCTCTCTCAACACTAAAATCTGTATAATTAATCTATTTATGTAGCCATGCATTTTAATACATTAGAATCCCAAAGCCCAGCAATAGATTTTTTTATATTTTATTTTACAATAGCTAATAAAGTTGATCAAGTAATTATTTATTGAGTTGCTAGTATATGACATATATTAGCCTAGGTATTAGAAGACTGAACGAAAAATAGACAAAGATCTCTTTCCTCATGAAGTTTTATATTTTAGTGGGAATGAGATAGACAATAAACATAAGAGGCAAGATCGTTATATAAAATATTAAAAGGACAAAGAGGTGTGGAGAATAATTAAGTTAGGTAAAAAGAATAGATGGTGATGAAGGGTGTGTGTGTGTGTGTGTGTGTGTGTGTGCTCACACGCTATTTTAAATAGTTTGATTAAGGCAGACCTAAGTGATATGGAAAATTACTGTACAAAGGTTAAAAGGGTTTGAGGGAGATATCCATGAGGATATCTGGAGTTAGAGCGTTTCAGATAGAGGGGTCAGGCAGTTCCTGAGATGAGAGCATTTCTACCATGATACAGAAAGAACAAGGTTCATGCGGTTGGAAAAATAAAAAAAGTGAGCGAGAAGAGAGAGGAATCAAAGATGAGGTTCCAAAGCTAATGGAATTTTAGATCCTGTGGAGCTCTGTAGCACGTGGAAAGTACTTGGTCTTCTATTTTGCATGAAAGTCATTAATCCATTGGATGTTATGAGCTGAGGAATGATATGAACTGACTTAAAACAGAGTCATTCTGGCTGCTGCTTGTGAATCGATTGCCTGGGGGTGTGTGGAGGGGGAAGAAAATGTAAACTTTTAGATTAGGTGGGTCTCAAAATAATTCAGTGAGAAAACAGAGTAATGATCTAGCTCTAGCCTATAGGTGTGGATTGACACTCAATGAAGAAAAAGAAAAGAAACTTATATATGATTATTACTTGAGAATATACAAAAAGTTTGAAGCTTTAGAAAATTGATAAAATTTACTGTGTTTTCTTCAGATTGATGGCTACTTCCTGTATCTACCCCAAATGACAAAATGCTACTGATTTATATATATTTTATGCTCTGTGTAAAAATTTAGTAATTTGCAGGTGTCATCTTCCTCTATCCCATTTCCTCTGTCAGGGCTGGGATTTGTTTTCCAAACTACATGTGAATTGTCTTTTTTTTTGACGGAGTTTCACTCTGTCACCCAGGCTGTAGAGCAGTGGCGCGATTTTGTCTAGCTACAACATTCCCCTCCCAGGTTAAAGCGATTCTCTTGCCTCAGCCCCTGGAGTAGCTGGGATTACAGGCATGCGCCAACATGCCTGGCTAATTTTTGTATTTTTAGTAGAGACAGGGTTTCATCATGTTGGCCGGACTGGTCCCGAACTCTTGACCTCAGGTGATCTGCCCACCTCAGCCTCCCAAAGTGCTGGGATTACAGGCATGAGCCACCACCCCTGGCCATTTTTATTTTTAATTAAGTTTTTGGTTTTCTAGCCTATTTCTAAACTCCTATCGATTTTTAGCCTATTTCTAAACTCCTATTGATCGTGAAGGTTAAAAGTATCCTCCCATTTGTCCCATGAAGTCCGTAGATATCACATAAAAACTGGACTTCTCGAACTCATGCTTTCACCAGTTATTCTGAAAGACTGTGATCCGTATCAACAGAAAGGATAACAAAAGTTCTTATGGCTACATTTAAAGCAAATTCAATTTTATATTTTTTAATGCAAAATTTGAGGGAAATAAGGGAAACACCTAAAGGCAAGGTCTTTGATTTAGTTGTATACTTTTTCCGAACTTAAATAACATGGCGAACTTAAGTAAGATAGGATATATATATATATATATATATATCTCACATATGTATCAAAATAACAGAAACTAGGCAAAATTCATCACAAAATCAGACATGCAGTTTTGTTGTGGTCTTCAATATCTTTTACATGATTGCATTTTATTACATAAAAATGTATTTTCACCAGAAAATTATTTACCTTGTAATGAATGTTATTTGAAACTCTAGAAAAAGTGTAGATATTTAGATATTTAGGCACTTCGAAAGCGTACTGATAATAAGGAATACTTTATCATCCTTAAGAGACATTAGTACACATATACATGGTTCAAGAAGCAGGGCTAAGCATATACTATGTAAAAGAAGCAAAAAGACTCTTACTTTAAAATACTGGTAAAATAATTTGACACTAGTTCTAGTGTCAAACTATTCTGAATTTGTCCTTGAGCAAATTATATAAGTTCACTAAACTTCAGTTTCTTTACCTGTAAAAAGTAAAGATAATACCAGCTGCAAGAAGTTACTGTGAAAAGTAGATAAAGTAATGTATTAAATATATAGCTACTAGTACAGAGTAGGAACTGAAGAACTGATGGTTTCCTTCCCCTTCACTGGGCCTCACCAATCAGTTGGGGAAACAGAGTATAGATACTACATGTAAATAATAAAACATAGCAGTCAGCATAGGCAAAGAGTCATGTGAATGGTATTGGTAACTGACACAACAAGAGTTCAGAGGAAATTTTTCAGGACTGGCGTCAAAAGATGCTTCTTGGGGAACACAGGCTTTGGTCCAGAAATTAAAGGAAAAATATTAGAAAAATAGAAACACAGTTGGTATGATCTTCCAAATTCAACCCATTTATTTAATAGGCAGGACTTGGTGGAGATCCAAACAAGAAAGCTTATTCTTTATCACCACAATTTAATACATAAAACAACTCTGCTAGATCTTCCTTTACTGTCTTCTTGATCTCATGGGGGATTTTATAGTCTTTCCAGCCACATTTGTTTAATTACAATATCCTCCTTTTAGAGGTAATTATATGTATTTATTTTTTATTTTAATGTTTATAGATTTAGGGGTTTTGATACATGGACACATTGCATAGTAGTGAAGTATGTACTTTTAATGTAACCATCATGCAAACAGTACACATTGTACTAATTAGGTTATTTCTCATCCCTCACGTTTCTCCCACCCTCTCACCTTTCCAAGCCTCTATTATTCCTCTCTCTGTGTCCATATGTACACAATATTGAGCTTTGATTTATAAGTGAGAAAATGCAACATTTGACATACTGTTTCTGAATTATTTTACTTAAAATAATGGCCTCTAATTCCACTTATATTGCTGCAAAAGACACAATTGCATTATTTTTTATGGCTGAGTAATATTCCATGATGTATGTGTATATATACATATACATATACATATATATATATATGTCTGTGTGTGTATATATAAAATTTTCTTTTTCCAATCATCCATTGATGGACATTTATTTTGATTCCATATCTTTGCTATTGTGAATAGTGTTGTGGTAAACATATGAGTGCCAGTATCTTTTTCATATAATGATTTCTTTTCCCTTATGTAGATGCCCAGTAGTGAGATTGTTGGATGGAATGGTAGTTCTATTTTTAGTTCTTAGAGAAATCTCCATACTGTTTTCAATGGATGTACTTCACCACCAACAGTGTATGAGTCTTTCCTTTTATTTGCATCCTCTTCAACATCTGTTATTTTTTGACTTTTTAATTATAGCCAATCTGACTGGTGTAAATGACATCTCTTTATGATTTTAATTTCCCATTTTTCTGCTAATTAGAGATGTTGAGCATTTTTTTATATGCTCGTTGGCCATTTGCATGTTTTCTTTTGCAAAGTGTTCTGTTGCGGGAAGTCAGGGACCCCGAATGGAGGGACAGGCTGGAGTCGCGGCACAGGAACATAAATTGTGAAGATTTCATCTTAATATGGACATTTATCAGTTCCCAAATAATACTTATATAATTTCTTATGCCTGTCTTTAATCTCTTAATCCTGTTGTCTTTGTAAGCTGAGGATGTACGTCACCTCAGGACCACTGTGATAATGTGTTAACTGTACAAATTGATTGTAAAACGTGTGTTTGAACAATATGAAATCAGTGCACCTTGAAAAAGAACAGAATAACAGAGATTTTTATGGAACAAGGGAAGACAACCATAAAGTCCAACTGCCTGCGAGGTCGGGCAAAAAGAGCCATATTTTTCTTCCTGCAGAGAGCCTATAAATGGACGTGCAAGTAGGAGAGATATTGCTAAATTATTTTCCTAGCAAGGAATATTAATATTAATACCCTGGGAAAGGAATGCATTCCTCGGGGGAGGTCTATAAACGGTCGCTCTTGGAATGTCTATCTGGCGCAGTTGTGATAAGGACTGAGATATGCCCTGGTCTCCTGCAGTACCCTCAGGCTTACTAGGGTTGGGAAGACTCCGCCCTGGTAAATTTGTGGTCAGACTGGTTCTCTGCTCTTTAACCCTGTTTTCTGTTGTTTAAGATGTTTATCAAGACAATACATGCACTGCTGAACATAGACCCTTATCAGTGGTTCTGCTTTTGCCCTTTGTTCTGTTCCCTCAGAAGCATGTGATCTTTGTTAGACCCTTAGTAGTTCTGCTTTTTGTTCTTTGAAGCATGTGATCTTGGTGCCTACTCCCTGTTCTTACACCACCTCCCCTTTTGAAACCCTTAGTAAAAACTTGCTGGTCTGAGACTCAGGCGGGCATCACAGTCCTACCAATATGTGATGTCACCCCTGGCGGCCCAGCTGTAAAATTCCTCTCTTTATACTGTCTCTCTTTATTTCTCAGGGGCTGACACTTATGGAAAATAGAACCTACATTGAAATATTGGGGGTGGGTTCCCCCAGTAGTGTTCGTTCATGTTCTTTACCTACATTTTAATGGGGTCATTTGTTTTGTTGTTGTTGTTGTTGTTGCTGCTATTTTTAGTTCCCTGTAGGTTCTGGATATTAGTCCTTTGTTGGACATATAGTTTACATTATATTTTTTTCCATTTTGTAGGTTGTCTATTCACCCTGTTGATTGTTTATTTTTCTATGCAGAAACTTCTTAGTTTAGTTAAGTGCCATTTTTCTATTTTTGTTTTTGTTTTATTCACCTTTCAGGTCTTAGTCATGAATTATTTGCCTAGACCAATGTCCAGAAGAGTTTTTCCTATTTTTTTCTAGAATTTTTATGGTTTCAGGTCTTACATTTAAGTTTTAATCTATGTTTAGTTAATTTTTGTATATGGTGAGATATATAGGTTCAGTTTTATTCTTTGGGATGTGGCTATTAGATTTTCCCAGCACCATTTATTGAAAAGGGCATCCTTTCCCCAGTGTATGTTTTTGTCAACTTTGTTGATCAGTTGGCTGTAGGCATGTGGCTTTATTTATAGGTTCTCTATTATGTTCCATTGATCTATGTGTCTAACTGTATACCAGTACAGAAGTGTTTTGTTTACTATTTCCTTGTAGTATAATGTAAAGTCAGGTAATATGATGCCTCCAGCTTCGTTCTTTTTGCTTAAAATTGCTTTAGCTATTCAGGTTCTTTTTTGGTCCCATATTAATTTTATGACTATTTTTCTAATTCTGTGAAAAATGATGTTGGTATTTTGATAGAAATTGCATTGAATCTATAGATTGCTTTGGGAAGTATGGTCATTTTAACTATATTAATTCTTCCAATCCATGAGCATAGGATGTTTTTCCATTTGTTTGTGTCATCTAAAGTTTCTTTCATGAGTGTCTTGTATACTGCCAGAATAAGCTTCATAAATGAAATATAAATAAAGCGTTTCCCAGACAAGCAAACACTGAGGGTATTCATCATCACTAGACTGATTCTGCAAGAAATGTTCAAGGAAGTTCCAAACATAAAAACAAGATGTCAGCAGTCACCATCATAAAAACACACAAAAGTATAAAACTCACAGGTCTTATAAAAACTTACACAAAAGAAGCTAAACAACTAGATAATTAACATAATGACAGGAACAAAATCTCACAAATCAATATTAACTTTGAACATAAATGAATTAAATTCTCCACTTAAAAGGTACAGATTGGCAGAATGGATTTTAAAAGAAAACATGATCTGACCCTATGCTACTTGCAGGAGACACACCTTATTGATAGACACTTATAGAATGAAAGTAAAGAAAAATGAAGAGATATTTCATGGAAATAGAAACAAAAAGCAAACAGAAGCACTGGATTCAAATTGGACTTTAGATCAAATGGAGCTAACAGACATTTATAGAGCATTCTGTACAACAAACATAGGATATACATTCTTCACATCAGCTCATGGAACGTTCTCCAAGGTGATAAACTGTATGTTAGGTCACAAAACAAGTATTAATAAATTTCAAACAATCAAAATCATACAAAGTATCTTCTTGGACCACAGTAGAATAAATTTTGAAATCAATTCCAAGAAGAACTCTTGGAAATTATACGAATACATGGAAAATAAACAACATACTCCTGAATGATTTCGTGGGCAATGACAAAATTAAGATGAACATTTAAATTAAAAAATAATAAAATATAACTCATTTGAAATGAATAAAAATGGAGGTACAACATACCAAAACAAAGAAGCACAGCCAAGAAGTGCTAAGAGGGAAGTTTATAACTTTAAATTCCTACATTGATAAAATAGAAAGATCAAAAATTAAAAACTAATGTCATACTTCAAGGAACTCAAAACGCAAGAACAAAACAAACCCAAGAGAGCAGAAGAAAAGAAATAACAAAGATCAGACCAGAACTAAATAAAATTGAGGGCCAAATAAAAAATACAAAATGTCAGTGAAATGAAAGTTAATCTTTTGAAAACGTAAATTAAATTGAGAGACTGCTAGCTAGACTAACCAAGAAGAGAGAAGATTCAAATAAGCACAAATGAGAAGTGAAAAAGGGGACACTGCAACTGATACCACAAAAATACATAAGATCATCAGAGACTTCTATGCATATTTCTATGGTTACATTTATTTATGTATTTATTTATGTATGTATTTATTTATTTATTTACTCCAAATGAAAACTTCATCATCATTCATTCAGTTACAATCATTATTCCCTACTCTCCAACCTACATTTATTCTGATGAGAGGTAACGTTACTACTCTGCGACCTGTCAATATTTTTCTAGCCTCTCTAGTACCTATAGTGTCCACTTTGTTCTTAAGACACAGGAACTCTTTCCTACTGTTGGTGAAAGTGAAGCTGGTGCCTGTGAAGTTCTTTCTGCTCGAGGTCTCAGGAGAAGGCTTTTAGATTTTTCCAGAAATAATAGAACACCAGTCTCTGTGTCTACCCATATTCCAGGAGACATGGGTCAAGTTATAACTGTAACTAACACAGCTTTGGTCATACGACATCAATGAGAGTCTACTGAACCCTCACATTTGGCTGAGGGTAAGGTAACTATGACAAGGGGTAATAAAATGGTATAGTACTCCTTATTATACTAGTAGCCATCTTAAAAGAAACAACTGTTTTCTTTTATGAGCAATTTATTCTGAATGTCTTCATTTCTTTTAAATGTTCTATAACGATCTGTCCATCAATAACCTTCACAATACTTGGTACTTGTCACCCACTATCCTAAGAAGACAGCAAAAATGTCTACTTTGGTGCTTAAACACATGAGGAAATGAAACAGAATGAATGAGTATTCAGGCATTTCTGATTTCTCTATTTGGGCAATGGAAATATCTCTAAAGTTCTCAATGGGTTATTTATGTCATATTTCAAAAAGTTGCTATGGTTCTTTTTCCTGCAAATCTTCTGTCGATTATTCATTCTTTCTTAGAGTATTTAGGGTGTACCTACTGTGTGGCAAGCTTGGTCTCCCATGATGGGGCTACAGTAGGGTATCTAGAGTCTCAAAATCAAGTAGGAAAGCAAAATATAAACAATTAAGTCTCTCCCAGAGTAAGGAAGAGGGTGAAAGAAATGCTATAGTAATACAAAATATATGTTAATTAAGCCTACTGAAGCAGCCAAAAAAATCTTCAGCACTGAGTAAGACTGACACCTAAGGTCAAACTTCAAGGAACTGACACTTCTCTTTATGTAATATTACTCCTCTGAAGTTCCTGATATTTCCCTTGATGTGAATAAAAGCTGTGTTTTATGAAAAAAGTTTCATTCATCATTTTCTCTTTTTTTTTAGGTTCTCATGAGCACGTCATTTTCAAGAATTCCTTTTTTTTTTCATATTTTTATCTATTTAGTCTATTTATATTCTCAGTTTTCTATCTTTAATTAGTTCAATTTCTGGGCCTGTAGTGAAGTTAATTATATTGAGAATCTGTAAAACATATGGTTAGAAAAAAAGTTGCAGTAACGAGGAGTGACTTACTCCCCACTGCTGAATAAAGGCAACTGGTTGAATTTAAGTGTTCAGCAGACAGAAATACCTACTTCATACGTAATGAGATGCTACACAAAATGTCAAAGGCAGTGGGGAAAAAAAATGCAATCACTTGCTACTGAATTCCATGGATTCAACTTTAGGCTTGCAATGTTACTTTGAAGCACATGATATGAAGATTGCAGACTTCCTTTAAAAAAAAAACATTTTGAGCAGCTACATTTAGAATAATCAATAGTACTGGCAAGTGAATGGTAAATGAATTCTAGAGAAATTCTTTACAAATTGAGATTGTATTCCTAACCGAATGATAAATTCATATGTGTTTGGCAGGGGTTCGTAAATTATTGCTTCTTTCGTTTGTGGTTAGGGATGGGGCTCAGGCACTTTTTAATTCACTACCTAAGGCTGAGAGCTAGCTTTTATTCCCTGATCTTCTTACAATTCAAACTCTCACTAGTGTCTCTATCTATCATCTGCCCCTAAAATGTCCCAGACTGCTGTTGAGGGCTCTGGCTGGTCTCCAACAAGTAATTGAGAGTATAGAAAATAGAGGATGTAGAAATTACAGTGAATTTCAGGAAAAGGTGTTAAAATATTTTATTTAAAAGCCAAAAGTTCTCTGCTCTTCAGAACATATTCCAAATGTAAGGTGTTATTCTGATAACACACTGAATTGAACATAGCGGACTACTTATGATCTGTTGTTTGTCTGCCACTTAGACCAGTCTTGTACATCTGTGAAAGAATAGAAGTCCAAAGCGTGAGAAATTTATTTTATAAACATTCATGGCTAGAATAGTAGAGCCTTGACTATACAGGCAGATGGCATATTGCTCTAACAGTTCTTTGGTACATGCCAGGCACTGTGCTAAATGATTCTGTATTAGTCTCTTCTCCCACTGCTATAAATGACTATCTAAGACAGGGTAATTTATGAAGAAAAGGGATTTAATTGACTCATATTTCAGCAGACTGTACAGGAAGCATGGCTTGGAGGCATCAGGAAACTTACAATCATGGTGGACGGCAAAGGAGGAAGCAAGCAAGTCTCACCATGGCAGAGTAGAAGAGACAGAGAATGAAAGGGGAAGTGCTACACACTTTCAAACAACCGGGTTTTGTGAGTACTCTATCATGAGACGGCACTAGGGAGATGGTGCTAAACCATTAGAAACCACCCATAATCCAATCACCTCCCATCAGGCTCCACCTCCAACACTCGGGATCACAATTCAACATGAGATTTCAGTAGGGACACAAAGCCACACCATATCAGCTTCTCATGGGTTTTTTCATTTAATCTTTAAAGCAACCCTGTGATTGAGTCAGGCACTGCGTTCATTCCCATTTACAGAGGAAGAAGGAGGTTTGGAGTGTGCTGAATATTCTGCCTTTCCCTCCAGGTTCCCACTTAACCCTTCTCCACCTTGCTCTGTGACTGCAAAGGCTGATTACTATGAACTGCATCACCTGGAGCTCTTGCTCTAAGGTTCAGATTAGGTTTGGCTTCTAAGAGGCACCAGATGGAGATTAGAGGCAGGAGGAGTAAGAGGTCAAGATCTTTATTCCATTATTTCCTCCATTCTGGGTGTAGTTTGGTATTGACTGTGTTCCTCTACTGAATGCCACAGGTCCTCTCAGGTGGCTCTCTCCATACATCCATAACCCCTGCAGGATTCTGGTGATTACGCCCTCATCTTGCCCTTTCAGGCCAAGGCATAATGAGGATTTTCTACTGTTTTTAACCAAGGACTTCAACAACATTTTGTGGTAATCACATACTTTAACTCTATCCATGCATTTATAAATAACTTTGTCTTAATTTACTTTCAGATTCTCTTTTTGAGTGGCATCTGTTTTCTGCTGGACAGAGATCACACAGCTAGAATATTATCTCACCATTTTATTTAGGTGCTTTATTTAGGTTGTAAAAATGTAACATAAAATTTACCTTCTTATCCACTTTAAGTCTATAGCTCAGTAGTGTTATGTATATTCTCATTGCTGTGAAACAGACCTCAAGAAGTTAGATTGCAAATCTAAAACTCTATACACATTAAACAACTCTCCTTTTCCCTTTTTCCCCAGCCCTTAGTAACCACAATTCCGCTTTGTTTCTATGAATTTGACTACATTAGATACATCAATATTAGTACAACAATGTAGTATTTGTCTTTTGTAACTGGATTATTCCACTTAACATAATGTTCTCAAGATCTATTCATGTTGTAGCATGTGACAACCTTACTACATTTTTAAGGTTGACTAACACTCCATTTTATGTAATACAACATTTTGTTTATCCATTCTTGAATAACAAGACTGGACATTTGTGTTGCTTACATCTCTTTGCTCTTGTGAATAGTATTGTTTTGAATGCTGGAATACAAATATCTGCTTGAGACCCTTCTTTCAATTCTTTGGGTTACATACCCAGAAGTGAGATTTCTGGATCATATGTTAATTTTATTTTTAATTTTCCAAAGAACTTCCTTACTTATTTTTCTATGGTGGTTGCAACATTTTCCACAGTGCTACCACAGTAGTAGAACTATTCCACTAACAGTACAAAAGGGATGCCGTTATTTGACATCATTGCCAGCACTTGTCATTTTCTATTTTTTTTAACAGTAGCAATTCTAAAGGGTATGAGGTGATACATCTTGTTGGTTTTGATTTATATTTCTCTCATGATTAGTGATGTTGAGCATCTTTTCTTATGCTTGTTGGCCATTCATATATCATCTCTGGAGAAATGTCTATTCAAGTCCTTTGCCCATTTTAAAATCTGGCTACTATTTTGTTGTTGTTGAACTGTAGGAGTTCTTTATATGTACTATGTATTCACTCTTTATCAGATATATGATTTGCAAATATTTTCTCCCATTTCATAAGTTGTTTTTCACTCTGCTAATTGAATCCCTTGATTCACAAGGGCTTCTAAGTTTGATGCAGTCCCATTTATCTGTTTTGCTTTTGTTGCCTCTGCTTTCAGTGTCATATCCAAGAAATAATTACCAAATCCATTGTCATAAAGGTTTCCACGTGTGCTGTATTCTCGGAGTGGTACAATCTTAAGTCTTACATTTAGGTTTTTAACCTGTTTTGAGTTCATATTTATATGGGATTAATATGAGTCCTACTTTTTTTTTGCATATGTTACCCAGCTTTTCTAACATCACTTGTTAAAAAGACTGTAATTTCTCCATTGAGTGGCCTTGGCAACCTGGCTGAACATCAGTGGATCACAAATGTGTGGATTTATTTCTGGGATCTCTATTCTATTCCATTGGAATATTTATATTTCTTTATGCCAGTACCACAGTTTTAATTACTGTAGCTGTGTAATATGATCTGGAATCCGGAAGTATGAAGGCTCTAAATTTGTTATTCTCTTTTCAAAATTGTTTTGGATATTTGGAGTTACTTGATATTTTATGTTAATTTTAAGATTCATCTTTCTATTTTGGCCAAAAAAATGACATTGGGGTTTCAGGTGAGATTGAAGGGCTCCAACTTTGTTATTTTGTTTTCAAAACTGTTTTGGATAATTGGAGTTTATTGATATTTCATGTTAATTTTAGGATTAATCTTTTAATTTTGGCAAAAAATGACATTGGGATTTTGAGATTGAATTTAAACTATCAATCACTTTGAATATTATGGACATCATAATAATATTAAGTATTTCAATCCATAGGCATTTTATATCTTTCAATTTATTTGTGTCTTCTTTAATTTATTTCAGCAATGTTTTATTGATTTTAGTGTACAAGTCTTTTATCTCTTTGGTTAGGTTTATTCCTAAGTATTTTATTTTTTATATGCTATGATAAATATAATGGTTTTCTCAGTTGTATTTTCAGATTGTTCACTGTTAGTGAATAGAAATACCTGATTTTTGTGTTGATTTTGTTTTCTACAAGTTTGCTGAATTCATTTATTAGTTTTAAGATAGTTTTGTAAAGTTGTTGTTTTTTTACCAGTAAGATCATGTATTCTATGAACAAAGTAATTTGACTTATCCCTTCCCAACTTGGAGTCATTAATTAAGTAATTAATTAATCAATTTTGTTCACTTGCTCTGGCTAATACTTCCAATACCATGTTAGATAGAAGTGCTGACAGTGGGCATCCTTACCTTGTTATTGGTCTTCCAGAAAAAGCTCTTTATATTTCACTATTTAGTATGATGCTAGTCATAGACTTTGAGTAAGTGGGTTTTATTATGTTGAGGTAATTTCCTTCTATTTCTACTTTGCTGAGTATTTTTGTTATAAAAGCTTGTTATATCTTGTCAAATGCTTCTTTTCTGCATCACTTGAGAAGGCCATGTGTGTCCTCTATTCTGTTAACACAGTGTATTACACTAATTGATCTTCATAGATTGAACCATCTTTACATTCTAGGAATAAATTCCACTTGGTCAAGGTATATAATCCTTTATTATTGTTATTATTATACTTTAAGTTTTAGGGTACATGTGCACAATGTGCAGGTTTGTTACATATGTATACATGTGCCATGTTGATGTGCTGCATGTCCTGTTGAATTTGGTTTGTTAGTATTTCCTTGAAGATTTTTGCATTAATATTCTTTAGGAATATTGGTATGTAGCTTTCTTTTTTTGTAGTTTAATTGCCTGGCTTTGGTAGCAGAATAATTCAGGTCTCGTAGAATAAACTTAGAAGTTTTCCCTCCCTTTTTTTTTTTTTTTTTTTTTTTTGCAGGTATCAGGATGAATGGTGTTATTTCTTTAGTAGAATTCTGCAGGGAAGCCATCTGGTCCTGGATATTGCTGGGAGGTTTTTGATTACTGATTCCATCCCTTTACTCATTATTGGTTTGTTCATATTTTCTATTTATTCATGGTTCAGTCTTGATAGTTTGGGTGTCTAGTAATTGCTGGTTTTTTTTAGATTATCTGATTTATTGGCATACAGTTCCTCATATATTCTCTTGTTAGATTTTTTATTTTTATGGCATCAGTCATCATGTTCTCCTCTTTTCATTTCTGATTTTAGTTACTTGTTTCAATCAAGAAAAATGACAGAGATGCTACTTACCCATAAAAAGGACCGAAGTAATGGCATTTGCAGTAACCTGGATAGAATTGGAGACTGTTAATCTAAGTGAAGTAACTCAGGAATGGAAAGCCAAACATTGTACGTTCTCAGTCAGAAGTGGGATCTAAGCTATGAGGACATAAAGGCATAAGACTAATACAACGGTGTTTGGAGACTCAGGTGAAGGGGTGTAAGGGGGTGAGGGATAAGAGTACACATTGGGTACAGTGTACACTGCTCAGGTGATGGGTGCATCAAAATCTCAGAAATCACCACTAAAGAATCTATTCATATACAAAAATTAATTAATTAATTAGTTAAAAAATAACTGATCTGCTGTCACTCTAGATTATATTTGTCTTTTTTGGAGTTCCACATAAATGGAATCATACAATGTACTATTTTGTGTCTGATTTCTTTCACTCAGCATAGTTTTACGATTTAACCATGTAGTTACAGATATCATTCCTTGTTATTGTTGAGTATTCCATTGTAGAGATACACTACAATTTGTTTATTTGTTTATCTATTAATAGGCATTTGAGTTGTCTCCAGTTTGGGATTCCTACAAATAAAGCTGTTAAGAACATTAAAAAAAAATGACCGGGAAAAATTTCAATCATTTTAGGAGGTTTACTTGTCAAAGTTAAGGACGAGCACTGGGGAGACAGGCCTATGCCTTTCTCTGAAGCTGATTTTGAGGGCTCCAAATTTAGAGGGGAAAATATTGAGAAATACACAATTTTCATGTAAGAGGAGGGCGGGGGAAAATAGTCATTCATGCCTTTGTCTGGTTCAGTGAATGCATTTTTGCATAAGATAACATAGACAATAGGACAGGGGTAATAATCAGATATACATTTGTGTCAGGTAGGCAGGGGGATGACACATAAATTAAAATCTTTCCTTTGAGTTCTGTCCTATGAACGTGTAAAGATAAGCTATTAATTTACTTTGCCATGGTGAATTTTTACAGACATACTTTAAGATAAACATCTTGGAGTCCACTAGGAATTTCCTTGTGGGCAAAATATGAGGGAGGTATGTAGCTTTTAATCTGTAGCCATCTTATTTAGGAACCAAAAGGGAATGCAGGTGTGCATAACCCAGTTTTCAGCTTGACTTTTCCTTTGGCTTAATGAGTTTGGGGTCCCAAGATTTATTTTTCTTTCACACTTGAATTTTCTCTCTTTTATTCTTAGTTAATCTAGATGAAAGTTTGTCAACATTGTTGATCTTCTCACAAAACTAACTCTTAGTTTTGTTGATTATTATCTATTCTTTTACTATTCTCCATTTCATTTATCTTAACTCATATTACAGGCTAAAACTAATGCTGATGAGAATGTGGAGAAAGGGGAACCCTTGTACATTGCTGGCAGGAATGTAAATTAGTATAACCACTATGGAAAACAGTAAATTAGTACAGCCATTATGGAGGTTCTCAAAAAACTAAAACTAGAACTACCATATGATCCAGCAATCCCACAGATAGGCATATATTCAATAGAAAAGAAATCAGTATATCCAAAAGATATTTGCACTCCCATGTTTATTGCAGCACTGTTCACAATAATTAAGATACAGATTCAACCCAAATGTCAATCGATGGATAAATGAATAAAGAAAATATGGTATATATACACAATGGAATATTATTCAGGCATAAAAAATAACAAAATTATTTCATTTGAAACAACATGGATGGAACTTTTCACAAATAAGTGGAAACTGAAAAAATTGAATTCCTGGAGGTGGAGAGTAAAATCATAGTTATCAGAGGCTAAGAAGGATAGTGGGGAGGGGGCAATAAAGAAGCAATTGTTAATGAATACAAAAATATAGTTAGAAGTTATAAGATCTAGTGTTCAGTAGTAAAATAGGGTGACTGTAGTTGACAGTAATTTATTTTGTGTTTTCACATAACTATAAGAATGGTATGGCAATGTTTCTAACACAAATAAATGATAAATGCTTGGGATGGTGAATGATAAATGCTTGGGGTGGTGAATACCTCAATTTCTTTGACTTAATCATTGCACATGGTATGCTTGCATCAAAATATCACATGTATCCAATAAATGTGTAGAACTAGTATGTGTCCATAATTATAAATAAAAATAAATGAACAAATAAAATGTAAAAAAGAAATTATACAAATGACCAATAAGCACATAAAGAGATGCGTATCATTAGTAATCATTATAAAAATGAAAATCAAAACTACAATGGGATGCCCCCTCACAACCAGTTAGCATGGCTACTTTCGAAACAAAGTAAGAAGTGTTGGCAAGGATTTGGAGAAATTGGAACCTATGTGCACTACTGGTAGGAATGTAAAATAGTGCAGCCACTGTGGAAAAGAGTATGGCAGTTCCTAAGAAAGTTAAAAATAGAATTACAATATAATCCAACAATTCCATTTCTGGGTATATGCCCAAATGAATTGAAAGCAGGGTCTTGAAGAGATACTTGTACATCCAAGTTCATAGCAGCTTTATTCACAGTAGCTAAAATGTGGGAGCAACCCAAGTATCCATGGACAGATGAATGGATAAGCAAGATCTGTATATACATGCAGTCGAATATTACTCAGCCTCAAAAAGGAATACAATCCTGACATAGACTACAACATGAATAAACCTTGAGGACATTGTCATGAGTGGAATACACCAGTGGAAAAAAGAGAAATACCGTATGATATATGAGGTACTTAGAGTAGTCAAAATTGTAGAGACAAAAAGCAGAATGGTCACTGTCAGAGGGCAGGGGGAAGGAGGAATGGGGGATTATTGTTTAATAGGTACAGAGTTTCAGTTTTCCAAGATGGAAATATTATTAATAATATTATTTGTTAGAAAAAACTTAAAAATTATATACATAGAAATGGGTGGTGGTGATGCTTGCACAACATTGTGAATGTGTTTTCTTTTTTTTCTTTTTTTTTTTTTTTTTTGAGACGGAGTCTCGTTCTGTCGCCCAGGCTGGAGTGTAGTGGCGCGATCTAGGCTTACTGCAAGCTCCACCGCCTCCCGGGTTCACGCCATTCTCCTGCCTCAGCCTCCCGAGTAGCTGGGACTACAGGTGCCTGCCACCACACCCTGCTAATTTTTTGTATTTTTAGTAGAGATGGGGTTTCACCGTGTTAGCCAGGATGGTCTCAATCTCCTGACCTCGTGATCCGCCCATCTTGGCCTCCCAACTGAATGTGTTTTCTACCACTCATCTGTGTGTTTGAAAATGGTTGAGATGGTAAATTTTATATGTATTTTACCATAATAAAAATGGGAAACAACACTATGTAATTTTGAGGACCTAAGAAGTAGAGGTATTCAGAGCAGAAACTAGAGCAATAGGAATTCAAGCAGTAAAAAAAGATAAAATAGAAAAAAAATTCCCTAGCTGACAGCAGATGAGTATATAGAAATTGAAACTACTCCTCAATATTTAGACAAAATTAAGGAAAGAGACTCATACTATGGGATATATTTGCAAAAACATTCATTTAAATGTTAAATTTACAAATCCTACAATATTCAAAGCAGGAAAAAAAGTTTACTGATGAATTCAGAAAATCAGCCCGAATTCAATTTTTTATTCAGAAAAAACTAAATGCATGAAAAGAATGGAGAAATGTGTACAATTATTCCTGGGAAAAAAATCTATAACCTAAGATTCCTACTCTGCTAACTTGTCATGTACGTAGGAATAAAGCAATGATAATGATATTCTAACTCAGTCGTACTGACCTCCTTACCCTTTTTTTCACCTCATGGCACACATAGAAAATGATGTTTTAATTGCATAATAGGATAACTAGATATGGCTGCTCATAAGGGACAATTAGCCTAAAGGTTCTGGGTGCCCCAATCTATGACTAGCCACCCCAAAATTTTAGGAAATCTATTCACCAGTACACTTGTCATTCATATTTGGTACACTCTTCTGATATGGCACACTAGTTGGAGAACGCTCTTCTAACATATACTAGGGTTCATAAAACATACTGCTCATTCACTCTTCAGTAGAAAATCATCTAAATTGTACTTCCACTGAAAGAAAGATGAAGATAGAACGCAAGAATAATAATCTTTTGAAGAAGCCAACTGCAGGGACATTCAAACCAATAAATAGAGAGTGGTAAGCATGAACAAGTGCTAGAAATACAAGTACTACATTGACTTCAAAATTCTAAAGCTATTCTTGAAAAATATTTACATAATTAAAATTTATTATTATATTTTTATTATTTGGGTCTTTAAGTATGCATTAAATTAACATTGAAAGTACTGTAAACAGGGTGACTAATGCTGGTAAATCAAATGGACAGTTGTCAGGACTTCTATTATCCTTTCTGTAACATTTGTAACTAATATTAAAAAGTTTCAGAAATATTATTTGTTAGAAAAAAAATTAAAAATTATATACATAAGTTTTTGAAGTTAAAAATAAAAGAAACTTCTCTGAGCCTGATCCTTAATTTTAATTCTCAAAGATAAGCTCTGTTCAAAATTTCTAGTGTATCCTTACAAAGTTATCGATATTATGACATTTGATATATGCCAGATGATACAGAGCATGTACAATGCCACATTTTCATTGGACTATGTATTACGGCATTTGGCATATTTCATATGACATGTAACATATGTTATATAATTTTTTCCTTTTCTACAAAAATGGCATATAATATATACTCCTCTTTGCCCTGGATCTTTGTTTATTTTCTTTTAATATGTATTGGACATATTGTTTATTTCAGCTCCTATATATCTACCATCCCTTTTAATTGTTGCATAGTATTGCATTGAATCGGTGCATGAAGATTTGCTAATTTACATGTCAAATACCCTATTGATTGATAATTAAGTAGTTTCAACTTGTTATTTTTAGTAACATGATATTGCAAATTTTTACAAATGCATGTGTAAATATTTGTGCATGTCTTTCTATAGGATAAATTTATAAAATTAGAAATGCTGAGCAGAGGCATATGAATATTTATGTGTTGAGAGATATTCCTGTGTTGTTGTTGGGTAAGATATGCCAATTTACATTGAACCAACAATGAATGATAGAGCAGGTTTCTTCATATCCTTGACAGTAAGGTAGTTTACCACCTTTTCACTTTTTAAAAAATATCTGATAGACAAACTATAATATATTCCATAAATTCTTAGTGAAGTTAACTATCGTTTCATGTTTATTAATCATTTTTATTTTTTCTCTGGATATCTTGTTCCCAATTTTTATCCCCGCCTCTTTTTTTTTTTTTTTACCAGTTTATCTGTGTGTTCCCCTTGCAAACTTGTAAGAACTATACATGTGTTAATAATAACAGGCCTCAGCCTATTAAGGAGTTGAATTTTTTTCCAGTTATTGTCTTTTGAAACGTTTATACTATTTCTTGGTACATGAAATTTTTAAATGTTTAGATACTACATTTTATCAATTGCTTTCTTTATGGCTTCTGTCTTTCTGAGGAAGTGCTTCCTCACTCCAAGACTTTAAAAATATTTCTTTTGCATTTTATCCTTGTGATTTTATGATTTCACTAACTTTTTTCTATCTAAAATCCAACTAGAAGTTTTACTGTTATAAGGAAGTAAAATGGGTCCAGCTTAATTTTTCCTAAGTGATTATCAGATGTCTCTAAATAATTGGATGGTTCATCTTGTCCTCATTGATATTTACTCATTTTGATATTTATTCTATGACATTTATTCTATCTTTCTCTATGTATGTATTTATCAACACACACACACATACACTTCTATACAGAAAGAAACATCTAGATGTATTTCCCTCTTCCACTAATATTTCTGTCTATGCTCACAACAGTAACACTTCATTTAAATTATGATAACTAGTTATAGGTTTAATTGTTTGTAGATTCAGTTTCTTCACTCCACCAGTACTCTTATTTTTTAAAAGTTTATTAGATATGGAATCTTATTCCAGATAAACTTTTGAATCCTATTGTTATGATACAAATAGTGTTTGTGTTTAAATTTAGTAACTGTGTGACTATCATAATTTAAGTAGACATATTTTAGGCCTTATACGTTTCTGGTAATTTCTTCATTCATTTTTTTAAATTTAAAAGTATAGCTGTTAAAGCACTGTAGGTATAGTGGTAAGAAAACAGACCTTTATGGACCTTATATGTAGTAAGTAATAAACGATATTAATACACAAAATGTATGCATACAACACATTAAATAATAATGTTATTTGAAAAGCTCCCAGCTAAATTAGGGCTCCAATACCAGAGCGGCTAGCAACTCTGCCGTAAAGGGAAACGAAGGGGAGTTGGATGTGGGTAGTTACAGGATGCCTTTCATAGGATACTTCTTTTACCTGGAGGATAGCCTAATGTCCAGTCTTCACATGGAAAGCTTGTTTATACTGGCAGATGCTCCTGTAGCTCCTGACTGACTCATGTCCAGTTTATGCCTACCTGACCATTGCTGTAGCACTGGGAGCCTGATCTTATCTTCTCTCCCAAACCCTGGAAACCCTTGCCTGGGGGAGCCATCGGCTCTTCAGATAGAAGGCTTAAATTCAATACACCACCACAATAGGAAAAGTTCAAGGATTTTCACTTACAGATCCTGGACAGGGAAGATGCAATGAGTCGGGAGAGAATTCTTCCATTCCCAGGTTATGTGAGCCAGGAATGAAGAGTCAGGCAGACGAGAGAGAGAGAGAGAGAGCACGAGAGAGCACATGTGGCAAGTAGTAGTATATAAGGGAGTATGGTGTGAGTCACTTTATGTTTCCAGGCATTAAATGCCTAAATGGTCTATTTAAAGAAGGCAGTCAGAACAGCTAAGAGTCCAGTTTGCTAGGCAGGAGAGATACCTCTAAGTTTTCATCTTTGGCTACCTGTTTGAGCCATTGCGTATGGTATTCTACTTCTAATGCCTAGGAAGCAGCCTTTTCTGTGTCATTCCCATTTCATAAATAATAATAATTGCATAAGTAATTACCCACACACATATAACATATTATTTTTGTCATAGAAGGAAACGAAACAGCACAATAGGTTATACAGGGAAATTATAGGCCATGCTATAGATTTTATTCTATCTTAAATTGCAATGGAAAACCATTGGAGGGCTTTAAATGAGGAAGAGACACGAGCATATTTGAAGTTTTAAAACTGCTTCTGTCTGTTGTTAAGGAGAGAGATCGAGTTGGGGCAAGGGCAGAAGTTAGGGAACAAGTTGGGAAACTATGATGGTAAAAAAAGAAATGACGGTGTTTTGGTCTTAGACTAGAAAGAGAATGGAGTTAGAGGTAGACAAATTTAAAGCATTGAGTAGAATTGATAGGATTTGGGGTTGAATTAGACTGAAACAGTTTATGGCTGATAGAGGCTGTCTAATTTAGGTAAGTTATTTTCTTATATCTGCCCTCCATTTAACTGACTTTTACTATTTTTTTGGCTGCTTTATTTCTGCCTTTGATGTAACTTTTATTTTTTGAAATGGCTTTATGGTTTCTATGTAGTCTAATTCTGCAGTATTTGTCCCTTTTTTTTGTCTAATTGCTTGTTATCTGATCTCCTATTTCTTTGAATTACTTTTCCAAAGACAGTGTTTTTATTTGCTTTAAAAAATAGAGACTTTTTCTATGAATTTTTTCTATTTACAAAAAGAAGTCTTTTGAAGAGTTTTGTGTGGTGTTTTGTTTGCTTGTTTTTGAGACAGGATCGCACTCTATTGCCCAGGCTGGAGGGCAGTAGTGTGATCTCGGCTCACTGTAGCCTCAAATTCTCATGCTCAAGCAATCCTCCCACCTCAGCCTACCTGGTAGCTGGTACCACAGGTGCACACCACCACACCTGGCCAATTTTTTGTATTATTTTTTAGAGAAAGGGTTTCGCCATTTTGGCCAGGCTGGTCTCAAACTCCTGATCTCAGGTTATCCACCCGCCTCGGCCTACCAAAGTGCTGGGATTACAGACGTGAGCCACCACGTTTGGTGAAGAGTATTTTTGATATATATTTTGTGTCATGTCCCTTTCACATTACCTTTTAGTATGGTATGCACAGGTACTTTGTTGGAAAATTGGTGCTTGTTATATTTAAACACGCATATTTCGGCCTCCCATTTTCTTATGATTTGGACAGAGAGGACAATAAATGGAGTACAGGGAATGGAAACAAACACAGCTGATAACTTCAAATTGAATGCATTGCTTTAAACACCCTGTACTAAATCTAATGAACTTTCTATTATATCATGAGATACTGTTTTTTTTTCTTTTGTCGCTATCTGTTTTAAAGGAAAACATGATCACTCCTGTTGAAGGCCAG
This sequence comes from Homo sapiens, assembly GCF_000001405.40. Lineage (NCBI taxonomy): Eukaryota > Metazoa > Chordata > Mammalia > Primates > Hominidae > Homo > Homo sapiens. The sequence goes on from NW_025791819.1 coordinate 192,529, forward strand.
ATCAATATGGATCACTTAACCGATTTAACAGATTACACTGAGGCTAACAACTAATTCACAATTTTTTCTTTTTTTGGGAGGGGGGTCGGGCACAGTTAGGGTGTAATTGTATTCACTTTATTTTCAAAAGCAGCTGTATATTGAATATGTCATATATATCTTCAGAGATTCCCACAGGACCATGAGCTTTAGCTGCTTGCTTTGCCTGAACTACCACCCATATGTTAACCCACCTTACTTAGGCTGCATGGTTTCTCACCCAGGGCCAATCTGTAAATTACCTGTAAGAGCCAGGCATCCCCTTTGAGTATTAGCACACAACCAGACACACTAAATGTGCACCTTGAGTTTTTGATTTATCCTGCAACTTGTATATACACCTTGTTGCAGAGTGCTTCAGTTGGTTTCTAAGCAGTCTATATAGGATGACTTAACCCAGAAGTATGGGGCTGTAAAGGTGATGAGATAATCTGTACAACAAGCCCCCATGACACAAGTTTACCTGTGTAACAAACCTGAACATGTACGCCTGAAGTTAAAATACAAGTTAAAAAAAGGAAATGTGGCATTAAGCGTCCAATTTGAAAATGTATGTGGCATATACATAAATACTGTTTATCTCATTGACCAGTCATAAAGAGAGGAAAGCCGAGAATCATGCAGATAAATGCATTTCTTCCTCCCACAGACTCTTCTAAGAATTGCTCTACTGCCTAGCTGGAGATCCATGTGGTTGAGAGAATTTACGTGCTCAACAGTCTACTGGCTTGGCCAGCATATCAACTTGAGTTGATTCCCATCCTTTTTACCTAGCTTCCCCTTTTCTCCACTGTTACTGTCCTTGGATTGAATTTCTCAAAAATAACATCAGCACTTACTTCTGACTTCAAACTCTATTTTCTAAAGAAGCCAGATTAAGATAAACCACAAGCAAACTTTTAGTTTGCTGATTGATTTATCTACAAAACCTTACCTTCCCAGCCTCTTGATCATTTTAATGTGCATTAAGACTGAATCAAATAGATATAGTTCCTCCCTTAGTGTCATATCCTTTGTCATTTTGTTGTGCGCCTCACCATGGCTCTAGTCCTTATTGATTCAAGTCTTCATCACTCACTCAAATACTCTCAGATCTAACTGCCTACTGTGAAATATTCAAACTTGTCCAAAGGAAAATGCTTGATTTTCTCCCCCAAACTGCTCATCTGCTAGTTTCCCATATATACATTAATGCACCAATATCCACCTATATTTTAGGCCAAACACCTAAGGGTCATTCTTGATTTCTCTCTTTTCTTAATGAGCCACATCCAATGTATTAGCAGTGATGCCTATCTATCTCCAAATTAGATTCCTCTCTCTTCTGTTTTGGCCTTCTCCAATTCATTCTCACATCAGTCAGAGTGCTCTTTTGGAAATACAATTCATATTATATCATTCCCCTCCTTTAACCTCCCACAAGGGCCCCTGATCAGTTGTCACTGGGTTATAGTTATTTCTTAAAACAACTTAAAAGGCTTATCATGATGTAGCTTCTGATTATTTCTGTATTACAAAATATTACTTTTGTAATATTTTCACTTTTATTTATGAATTATGAAGCACAGTGTAATAGAAATGACAGGTGTCTTCGAGACGATATGGTGCAATTTATCTTCTTCTTCCTAGTGTAAGAGTATGTATATGCCAAATACATTTTCAAATTGGATGCTTAATGTCATATTTCTTTTTTTTAACTTGTATTTTAATCTCAGAGGTATATGTTCAGGTTTGTTACGTAGGTAAACTTGTGTCACGTGGGTGTGTTGTACAGGTTATTTCATCACCCAGCTATTAACCTTAATACCATTAGTTATTTTTCCTGATCCTCTCCCTCCTCCTACCCTCACCTTCGGATAGGCTCCAGTGTCTGTTGTTCCCCTCTATGTGTCCATGTGTTCGCATCATTTAGCTCCCACTTATAAGTGGGAACATGCAGTATTTGTTTTTTTTTTTTTCCCCTGTACTAGTTCGCTAAGGATAATGGCCTCCAGCTCTATCTATATCTCTGCAAAGGACATGATCTCATTCTTTTTTATGGCTGCATAGTATTCCATGGTGACATGCACCACATTTTCTTTATCCAGTCTATCATTGATGGGCATTGAGATTGATCCCATGTCTTTGCTATTGTGAATAGTGTTGCAGTGAACCTACATGTGCATGTGTCTTTAAAATAGAATGATTTATATTCTTTTTTTTTTTAATTATACTTTAAGTTTTAGGGTACATGTGCACAACGTGCAGGTTCGTTACATATGTATACATGTGCGATGCTGGTGCGCTGCACCCACTAACTCGTCATCTAGCATTAGGTATATCTCCCAATGATTTATATTCTTTTAAGTGTATACCCGGTAATGGGATTGCTGAGTAAAATAGTACTTCTGTCTTTAGGTCTTTGAGGAATTGCTACACTGTCTTCCACAATGGTTGAACTAACTGACACTCTCACATTTTGGGTGGGGCCTTTTTAGCCATGGCTGGAGCTGGAGCAGTTAGGAAGCAGAAGGCAGTGTTCCAAGGTTGTGTAAGGCAGCAGGGCCCTGGGCCTGGCCAAGTAAACCATTCTTCCTTCCTAGGCATCTGGGCCTGTTATGGAAGGGGCTGCTGCAAGGGTCTCTGAAATGCCTTTGAGGTCTTTACCCCATTGTCTTGGCTATTAGCACTTGGTTACTCTTTACTTTTGCAAATATCTGCGGCTGGCTTGAATTCTGCCCCTGAAAATGGGTTTTTCTTTTCTACTACGTAGCCTGGTTAAAAATGTTCCAAACTTGCATGCTCTGCTTCCCTTTTAAATGTAAGTTCCAGATTCAGACCATCATTTTGCTCACATATATTAGCATATGTCGTTACAAGCAGCCAGGCTATATCTTTAGTGCTTTGCTGCATAGACATTTGTTCCACCAGATACCCTAAATCATCTCTCTCAGGTTCAACGTTCCATGGATCTCTAGGGCAGAAGTGCATTGCCTCTAACCTCCTTGCTACTGCATAACAAAAATAACTTATGATTCAGTCCCCGATAAACTCCTCATCTCCATCTGAGAGGCCTTCTCAGTCTGGACATCATTGTCCATATCACTATCAGCATTTTGGTCCCAACAATGTAACAAGTATCTAGGAAGCTTCAAGCTTCCTCTCATTTTCCTGTCTTCTGAGCCCTCCAGACTATTTTAACCTCCGCCCATTACCCAGATCCAATGTCGTTTCCACATTTGCAGGTATCTTTATAACAACACCCCACTGTCAGTACCCATTTTCTCTACTAGTCCTTTCTCACGTTGTTATAAAGAACTACCTGAGACTGGGTAATTTATAAAGTAAAAATGTTTAATTGGCTCACGGTTCCACAAGCTGTACAGGAAGCATGGCTTGGGAGGCCTCAGGAAGCTTACAATAATGGCAGATGGTGAAGAGGAAGGAGGCATGTCTTACATGGCCCGGGCAAGGGAAAGAGAGAGAAGGAGGAGGTCCTACACACTTTTAAACAATCAAATATGATGAGAACTCACTCACTATCGTGAGTACAGCAAGAGGAAAATCTGCCCCCATGATCCAGTCACCCCCACCAGGCCCCTCCTCCAACACTGGGGATTACAATTCAACATGAGACGTGGGCAGGAGGAAAAATCCAAAGCATGTCACCCCTCCGATGTGACTGGATTTTAGACTGCTTTGAGCGTCACAGGGCAAGAGAAATAATGGTATATGGCTCCCAGAGCTAGAATAGAAAAGGCTCTAAAGTTTCTACTAGGATCTCTTGGAATACTTATTTGGTGGTAGATTGAGGTCATATAGGAAGGCCGATTGCTCGGCAACTACCATGGTAATCTATTGGAAAGTCTCAACTGGGGTCCCAGCCTCCAGTCAGCATCTAATACCAGTTACATCAGTGAACCATTTTGAGTGCCCAGTCCAGCTGAGGTTTCAAAGGACTGAAGGCCCTACTGTCATTTGTTTTTGTCAAAGAAAAGCTTAGCTAGTTATTACTGGATTGTATTAAAATAAAGGACTCTGTGGTTTTATATTAAGGCCATAATAACTTATCATTATATACAATTTATATTCAATTGATATACTTCAGGAGCATATATAATTTGTTAACATTTTCTGACTTTTGCACAAATTTTAGTCTGTTTTGAGTTGCTATAACAAAATACTTGAAGCTGAGTAATTTATAAAGAAAAGAAGTTTATTTGGCTCACTATTCTGCAGGCCGTACAAGCAGGGAACTTGTATCTGCTTGGCTTCTGGTGAGACTGTACTACTCATGGTGGAAGGTGACGTAAAGGCAGGCATGCCACATGGTGAGAGAGAGAGCAACAGCAAAGAAGGGGGTGCTACACTCTTATGTAATAGACAGCTCTTGCATGAACTAATAAAGTAACAACTCCCTCATTACCATGGGGAGGTCACCAAGCCATTCATGATGGATCTGCACCCATGACCAAAACACCTGCCACTAAGCCTACTTCTAACATTGGGGGCCACTTTTCAACATGAGATTTGGAGGGGACAAACATCCAAACTATATCAACTTATTTTTTATTTATTTTATGTTTTTATTTTTTATCTTTTTGAGATGAGTCTCACTCTGTTGTCCAGACTGGAGTTTAGTGGCGCGATCTCTGCTCACTGCAACCTCCAGCTCCCGGGGTCAAGCGATTCTCCTGCCTCAGCTTCCCAAGTAGCTGGGATTACAGGTGCCTGCTACCGTGCCCGGCTAATTTTTATATTTTTAGTAGAGATGGGGTTTCACTATGTTGGCTAGGCTGGTCTGAAACTCCTGACCCCAAGTGATCTTCCCCCTTTGGCCTCCCGAAGTGCTGGGATTACAGGCGTGACCCACCATTCCCGGCCTCAACTTTTAATTCATATTTTTCTCTTTCACTTTTTTATTCTCACATACACTCTCAATTTGTTTCTTCCTCTAGGTCTTAGACATGGTCATTTTGACTTGGCTTTAATGTAAATAAATATGTGTTCACTATATTTGGATAGATATTATTCTACAATAACTATATTGAATGTGTTACATTTTGCAAGTTCTCCTAATGTAGATACACATCTACTTATAAAAGTCATCATGTATTGTGCCAAACACAGGTATTTCTGTGTAGCAAATGTATGTAGTCTGTATGCTTAGAGCATGAAAATGAAGCCACAGAATTTAAATGAAATGCAACTGATCAGTTGCTCTTCCAATTTGTGAAGAGAATATATATTACTGTTTTGTGGCGTAAAGAGCAAGTAACTACCCTTTAAATAATGACAGAAATATTTCCTGTATAACAAATAAAGTAGGACATATACTTGTGAAAAATTTTCACTAAACAAAAAAAAAATCATCCTAAATGCAATAATATGGCTGTTTTTCTGTATATCACAGGCATGAGAATAGTTATTGCTTTTTTCTAAACAATGCAGTAAAAACTGCTAAATGTCAACAGAAATCAACAGAATCTGGAGTTAACTCAAAGTCCAGATAGAAAAATTTCAAATTTACTATGCCCCTCTGGAGAAGCTATGTTTTCTTCAACCTCCCATCACTGAGCATATTATGGAGCATACTATGTGTAAGCAAAACTCTTATCTATTGCTTTGCATAGAAGGAAGGCAACTTTTATTTATGGAATGCACAGTATGTACCAGGTAAACACTGTACTATATTATATGTTAATATCATTTCATTTTCCTAGTACAATTTTGTGAAGGAAGAGGTGGCTTGGATATAAATATTTAGCAGTAATACAACTAAGCCATCGTTTTATTTACATCCATAAAATATTAGCCTTGGAAGAAGCTATTAGAGATCATTTAGTCTGGTGGGTTTTAACCAGGTTATAGTCTAAGTACTATTAATATAGGTGACATATTACTACAAATAATATGTTTTATTATAACTGAAAGATCTGAGGAAAGTAAACTTTGGGTAGAAGCATGTGTGGTTTGAGAAAAAAAAAATCATCCAGGATTTTCTGATATGCTCCTTTGAATGAATGTTGCCGTCCTTCCCTTTCTCCTGCCTGCCGTGTCCATTGGAGAATAATGAAGTGGCTGAATTAGCTTTCTTTACAAATAAAACAGTTAGAAAATTATAGCAGCTTAGAGAAAGTGATTTGGCCAAAGCACACGGTGCAAGATAATGTCAGGAGCGGGTTTAGAATCCTTGCTATCTCTATGTTCTTTCTTCTAACACTTGCTAACTGCTCTTCCAAAATGTGCACAGATTAATGCATTTTCAGAAATGCTGGATTTGAGAAATGATCAGACCATCCTTATATAAGAAAAACTCATTTTGCCTACTATGGAAATTATGTCAGTGCAAGAATTCCATGGCTTCATGTATTAGTCACTGTCCCATTTGCAAGATAAAGCCTGGAACACTGGTGCTGGAGTCATCATTTGTAATTCAAGGCAAATGAGAGAAATACCATGCATATTGATTATTCCTTCTGAAAAATTAAAGTTGATGGGGAATTTGAGATGGTTGTGACCACCATAGGAATGAAAATTATAACCTGAATTGCTATATGAACGTGAATCAAAGTATTGTTACCACTTGCAGAAATCATTTATTGGGTGTCCACTCCCATAAAAAATGTATTATTTTTGTTCATTTTGTTGACAGATTGTTGGCATTTATGCAGATGTGGGAAGCAGGTACACTTTATTTGATTCCTTAGGACATAGTCATATCTTTTTGTTAATTTATTATAGCAGAACATTCAGTATATTTTAATGCAACCAGAATAGAAAATGAGCTCCTCCCAGTGACTTATTTCATTTCTAAAAATTATTATTATTAAATTAAATCACTGGCAAAGAACACTATTTGATTTTCTAAATTAAAGGCAAATATCGTAGGTTAGTTGTTATCAAGTATCTTGGCATTCAAATTCAGGGCAGATTCAGCTTTCGCTAGGAAAAGCAGATTTTCTTTTGAGTCAAGTGAGCTACCTAATTAGGTTCTTCATCCAAAGCTGTTTGAAGAATTACTAAACGCATTCATCCCAGTTCTCCCAGCCTACAAGTCAGACTATTGGAAACTCACTGAAGAGAAGATAAGGCATTTACTTAGGGGCAGGAGATGTTAAATTTTCCTGTGACTTTTATTCATCAATTAGTTATTATGTCCTAATGCTCTTTATCAATATTACTTACTAAACCCTAAGCCTGATCTGTACCAATTGCAATGCACTATTTATTCTGAGCAGCAGGTGCTAACTTTTTTTCTCATAGTGATAGCACCCATTTTCTGCAACAAATGACAACTATTTTTTCTCTTATAATTCTAATTAAGATTTCCTTGGACAATGCAGAAAAATGACATTGTTTATCTGTTCAAAAATCAAAGCTTATTTTTTAGTTTTTTATCCATTGATCTTAATTTGCAAGTTCTCAAAGGCAATACCTTCAACTTAAATTATGGCCAGAGTTTGCATTATCTTCACTGAGTATAAATAAAATTATATGATATGATGCAAAAAAGGAAAAAAAATTAGACAGTAAAGCCCCCATACCAGACCAAAATCACATGCCCGATAGTGTATGGGTAGAATTATCTTTTGCTTTCATTTTTATTTCAATTGGAGGAAAACAGGCATACAATCCACTTTGCTTCATTAACTGTGATCTGGATAAAAAGTTTTAGCCAATTTTTATTAAGTATCATTTATAAGGGAAAAAGTTTTGTCCATATTACCAAAACACCAGCATGTTTTCCAACATATGTGTTTAAGGAGAACTAAAAATGTATGTGGTGATGACACTATTATTTCCTTATAGAATAAGTAAGTAAGAAAGATGGAAAAATGCTAGAAGCATACACATTCTCATTAAATAAAATTATTATTTAAAAGTTCAACTATAATAGCATATAGCCTCAGAATAAGCAGTACATTTGCATAAACTCTTTATAAAGGGATTCAGATTCTAGGTTTTGTGCTATCAAAATGGTATTAGCCAGCTTACTGTGACTAGTTAGGACTCCACTATGTGTCCTATGGCCTCAGAAAAGTTGTAGCAATATATTTCACCATTGAAAATACACAAAATGTCAGTTAAGTAAACACCATGTAATTGATTATGCTATAGATTATTTATTGTGGCATATGAATCTGGCTTTACATATGCAATTGTCATTGCTTATGTTAATATTTGTGTAGACTTGCCTCAATATGTTTATTTTTCTTTCCACATTTTCTGGAGCTAAATGCAAGGTGACAGAAGGATTGGCTTAGAATTGGTAGATATCTTTATCTCTTCAGAGTGTAGATGTACCAGTTTAGTATAGACAAACATAATGAGACACTATTCTCTTTATCATGCTCTGCCTCCCCCAACCACTCACAGCTGGAGGCACTGATACATTCCGCCAACAGGCTCAGTCACGTGTAATCCCTGAGCTGAGAGCAGGCGTGTGTGTGTGTGTGTGTGTGTGTCTGTGTGTAAAGAGCCACAGCAAACTACCAAGTGAGATTTAGATCTCAACTTTTGCTCTTGATCGAGTATGCAGGTATTTGTATTCCTGCATGACCGCTATATCAATGGATTCTCTGTGACGGCTGGGGTTCTTTTCTATGGTTTATTGGTCAAGTCCTGTAATTCCCAGTCATACAGTAGAATGTTCTAAGCCACCCACACCCAGCTGGCTGGAGCCTAACATCTACCCTAGTTCTTATTATCCTTCTTCTAGAGGGCTGGATCCTGCACACTCTCATCACTGTTCCTCATCCTTTCTTGCATTCCTTACACACCAGCAAGGAGCTTGCTGAGGAAAACCTGAAACAACAATGGTTACTGAAACAAGCTCCTATTTGGATGCAATACAATATGGCCATCCTTCTCAGAGTCTATTCCTATACCTAGGTCAGTTTGTTAAACCCTCACCCCTCTATACATACTCTTGGTTACACTTCCTTCCCCAACCAGCAAGCCCCGGCACTAAAGATTTTTTCCTATTTTACAAAGCTGATAAAAACATAATAAAGGTAGACATTAACAATGTGACATCATCACCCTAATCCCATTCTCTGCTACCCTTGTAAATTTCAATTAAGCTAATAATGAGTCTAAGGTAAAATAAAAATAATATGACGTGATTCTTCATGGATTGATCATGCTGTCAGCATTTTCATAGCCGAAGAGTTACATTGGGTCTGCACTGCATTAATTATAGTAGCAATAAAACTTACTGAGAACAGAGGATGAATATCTTGAGGTCCATGTTCAATCCACTGAACATGCCTGCCTCTCTTCACCCTTGAACACTGCTGTTAATACATTTTTATTCTGAGATACAATGCTTTGAAACAAACACTTATATTTAAAATGCCTGCTTTGTAATTAGGTAGTCACATACATATAGCTGAAAACAAGATCATAATACTCCACTCAGAAACATATAATTTAAACAAGTAAGGGGTTATATATTCTAAGTAACCTTTTGTTTCTTGAAAATCTATTTTTAGTATGCAAATATACAGATGTGCACACTTGTTACTCTCTAATAAGTAAGTTGTGTCAGATCTAACAAAAGTGATAAATCTTGTTACAATTTTAAAAAGAAATTTGCAATGCATTTTTATTATGGTTTATTTATATGAAGCTTCCACTTTGTTAGGGTCTACACATATCACCAACATGAGTATCATGATAGATTTTTTAAAAAGCAAGACTCTTAAACTACTATGGCAGCAAATGTCTAAGTAATACTTGCTGTTTTAAGATGGGATATCCCAAAAAATTAGCCAGGCGTGGTGGCGCACACTTGTAATCCCAGCTACTCGGGAGGCTGAGGCAGGAGAATCCCTTGAACCCAGCAGGTGGAGGTTGCAGTGAACTGAGATCGCGCCATTGTACTCCAGCCTGGGCGACAGGGCAAGACACTGTTTTAGACAAAAAAAAAAAAAAAAAAGGTGGGATATCCACTGAATAGTCCAGATATTTAGATCACCTAAACAAAACAAAAATCTTGCAGTTGGTTATAAAAATTGCTGTCAAATATTCATTTATTATCCAAATTGGAAATGATACAAGAACCCAATGTTTGTTGGTAGGATATATTTTTAGCAAGATTATTTCAACATCAGTTAAGTGCTCATATGTTAACTGGCTTGTACAGGGTACCCTAAGTCCTTCATTAATATATTGCAAATTTAATGATCTTGAATATATGCATGCCTATGAAATAAAATTTTGAATTAGAAACATTTCAATAGAATAAAGCAACTTATGGCTCAATAGGAATTTTCTATGCATGACCTGGAAGTTTAATGAGATATATTGTAAACCTCTTATTTTGTTTATTTGCTACTAGATGCATACTAATTATATATATATATATGTATATATACATATATATATATATATATATATATATACACATACATATATATATTTGTGTGGGCTTATATTACATATAAAATGCATTAAAGTTTCACACACACTCACACATATATATGTCCATAATTTGAGAAGCAAATATTATTTATATTATTCCATTATTGGCCAGGCCTAAGTAGGCATATCACATATTTTAGCTCATATAATTCTCATAAAATTATATGCACCCAAAAATATTATTTTCTTTTTACAAGTAAATACCCTAAAGTCTAGGATATTTTCATTGCATTATGTGTCAGCATATATTCTATTCATTATTTCACATTTTCACATCAACTGATAGACGCTTTACAAATTTGTTTTTCATTGTGGCAAAATTGTGGTTCATTCAATGAACAATATCAGCCAAATTAAATTCTTCCATATATTTTATCAAATTTTGTACTTATTTGCAGTTGGATGAAAGGTTTCAGATACATTGTCATGACTGGAAGCCAGTGCCTATGGATGTAACTTTTGGCAATAGTCAGATTGCTGTGCCTTTCCTCTTGCATCTTTTAGTTCTTCCCCACAGAGTGAAGTACCACCATTCACAAAAGATAAAGTAGGAAGTTGAGAAGAGTAATAACTATTTATTGCTTCTGAAAGGGGTTAATGAGCACCTCTAAAATTGCAATGGACAGGATAGAGATAGAAAGAACCCTGGTGTCACCATAGGTTGGAGGACTATTGGGTTGCATATGATTGTTTGGGTTTGAAAGAGATGATGGACATAGATAACTATTCTGACTCAATTCAAAAAATCAAACTTATAGAAGCAGAGAATAGCATGGTGGTTACCAGTGGTTGGGGATGTGGGTGGAAAATGGGGAGATGTTGATTAAAGGATACATAGTTTTAGTTACACAAAAAAAATAAGTTCTAGAGACCTATTGTACACCCTGGTTACTATAGCAAATAATAATAAATTGCATACTTGCAAAATTCTAAGAGAGTAGATTTTAAATGTTCTCATTACAAAAAACATAAGTATGTGAAGTAATGGATATGTTAATTAGCTTGATTATGTCATTTCACAATGTATACACATATCAAAACATAATCTTGTACACTGTAAAAATAATTTTTTTTCAGTTTTCAAGTCAATATAATTTTAAAAATTAATTAATTAGCTATCCACAAACATCCCAAAACGAATAAGATACACTAGAACATTTACTGTAAATTGGGCCAGCTCCTATGCACACCCATCTGTCATTTGGTTACAGATGTGCCAAGAGTATTCTACCAAAATCCAAGTGTAAAGTTTGCCAGGTGTAAATTTTAAATCTGATTGTAATAGCTAAGCTTTTTCCAGTTAGACATGTTTTGTTGTGCATTGCATGCAAATGTTCTTACTCTAGCATTTTAAAATTCATTATTCTGCTTATTTGCTTTTATATGAGACCATAAACTTTAAAGTACAATATTTCAGTTCAGATTATCTGGCAAAACTATCCATGGGAAAGTGAGTAGAGCCAAGGGAAAGCACACACCACACATGCTATCCATTGATTAGCATTGAATATGTATAGATATCGTCTTATTTCACATTGAATAAACAGAAAGAACACTACTTTAGGTCTCCGATAAAACAATACAGAACCAAAGAAATAGAATTTCACCTGAAATATCCCATATGCTTTTTAAAATCATTTAATGCAGGTCTAGAAGTAAAATATTTTTAGAACTCATGGGCATCCTTAATGCATGACAAGAAAACATGTTGTCTATGAAATACCACAAAACCATAACATGCTGCCAAGATATCAGAGATACTTAAGGGGATTTGTTGAAGTTCACACACACACACACACACACACACACACACACACAGAGAGAGAGAGAGAAAGAGAGAAGGAGGAAGAAGAAGGAGGAGGAGGAGGAGGGGGAGGAGGAGGAGGAAAAGGAGAAGGAGAAGACGATAAAAAAGTAATCTTATAATTTTAAAATGTATATTCAATGCAAGGAAAAGCCAAATGGTTATTAGAGATGCTTGAAATATATTGAATGAAAAAAACTTAAACATTTTGCAGTTTACAAGGAAAAGAGAAAAGATAATTTAGTTCATTCCCTTTTGGAGACCCAATTGTTCAATGTTTTCATCAGTTGTGTAAAAATACTTCGTATCTATTCAAGAAAATGTTTATTTTGCAACTTAGATTCTGCAACCTCATTTTCTGATACTTAGAAAATAATAGTTATCTGACCTCAGGGTAAGGGTTAACTTTCTAAGTACATAATCAAATAAAGAGTCCATAAACAAATTTTTTCAGCCATTTTATCCCTTTATAAATCAGTGTCAATCATCTCTTCCCTTTACAGAATCTCCTAGTATTCAATAGGTGACATATCCCTCTTAAGAATCATTGTTTATATTTTGTTGTATTTCTACCAGCTAAGTTTGTATTGAATTGTTCTTCAATAGTTTGTATTATGAAGGCAATGTTTTTTAAAAAAATTTCCAAACTGCATAATTACTTTATTATTAGGCATACTTTTTCAAACCACATATTAGATTGAATATTCCTTTGCTCATTTAGGAGTCCTACTTCAATATGTCCACTGCTCAAAAATTACTGATATAAGGAAAAACACAGTGACAGATTGGCCAACTCAATTATTTGAAAATTTTGCAAGCAAGAAAAACAAAAAATAAAAGGCAAGCACCAAATTAGGGAAAACACAAGTGCACTTACTCTCACGCGTTCTCTCTCTTTCCATTTATCTATATATAAAATTATAATAAAATTATGGGTGCAATTAATATTGAGAGAACTCGTACAAAAATTATAAAAGAAAAAATTCTGGGAGAAAAGTAGGTGACATCCAGTTATCCATAGGTCCTTTATAAAAATGGATTACATCAAATTCTGGTTTCCAATCCAACATACAAGAAGCTTAGAAGTCATATTTCCACTCTAGCAAGTAGAAAGCTGAACAAGCTGCAATAACAACTTTACTTAGATTGGTCAGAAAAGTGAGGTTACAGGGCAAACTGCTGTCCCCAAATTGGAGAGACAGACAAGTAAATACAGAGCATCACAACTTACTGGAAGAGAAACCCATGAAGTGGACACTTCATGAGAATCATTACTGGGATAAGAGAAACTCAACTGTAATTGATAAATTTCTGAAGGTTTGGTGTGGGCAAGACTGAGAGTTAAAAACTTCGGCCGGCCGTGGTGGCTCACGCCTGTAATCCCAGCACTTTGGGAGGCCGAGGCCGGCGGATCACGAGGTCACGAGATCGAGACCATCCTGGCTAACTCGGTGAAACCCTGTCTCTACTAAAAATACAAAAAATTAGCTGGGCGTGGTGGCGGGCGCCTGTAGTCCCAGCTACTCGGGAGGCTGAGGCAGGAGAATGGCGTGAACCCGGGAGGCGGAACTTGCAGTGAGGCGAGATCGCGCCACTGCACTACTTCCAGCCTGGGCGACACAGCTAGACTCCATTTCAAAAAACAAACAAACAAACAAACAAACAAAAAGACTTCATGGAGGCTTAGTTACAAGACAATCCCCACACTTGTGAGTTTTACTTCCAGGAGCTCATACAGATTCTCACAGGGAATATTCCAGAAAAGTCCACTCATGCTTCTGGCAGGAAGAGGAGAAATGCAACCATTTTGAAATACATCAGACCACTTTGTTATTCTTAACAAGGCCTGCCTTTAATATAAACAATATTACCAGAACATAAACTACATGGTTTTTTCAAAGCCGAACTCATCTGTGGGTAGAATATGCAACTCTAGCCCCCTCTAGACATCTTGTCTCACCTAAGTGAGGGGGACAACTGAGAAGCACTTGAAAATTTTACCATCCAGAAGCACAAACTCACTAAAAGATTGAGACCTAATCAGGGGATTATAGTATGCTCCCCTCCTCCCACATTTTACCACAACATTACTAAACGCCTATTTATCAGTTTCTTTTACTCTGTGCATCACGTCTGGCTATCAAAAAAAAATTACAAGATATACAAAAGAGGAAAAAAACACAGCTTGAAGAGACAGAGCAAGCATCAGAACCAGACCCAGATACAGCTGGGATGTTGGAATTATTAGACTGAGTATTTAAAGCAACTATGATTAACATCCTAAGGGTTCTAATGAATAAAATACATAGTATGGAGGTGAGATTAGCAATGTAAACAGAAAGATGAAAATGTTAATAAAGAATCAAAAGGAAATACTAGAGATCAAAACCACCATAACAGAAATTAAGAATGCCTTTGGTTAGTGGACTCAATACAGTTGAGGAAATAATCTCTGAGCTTCAGGCTATTTCAATACAAATGTCCAAAATGATAAAAAATAAATGAGAATAAAAGACTGAAATAAAAAAAAACGCAACATCATATTCAAGATCTATGAGACAACTTGAAATGGTGAAACTTCTGCGTAATAGGAACACTAGATGGGGAAGAAGAAGAGCGAGGAACACAAGAAATATTTGAAGCAACAATGGCTGGCAATTTTTCCAAATTAAAATCGGACACCAAATAATAGATCCAGGAAGCTCAGAGAATGCCTAGTACAATAAATACCGAAAACTACACCTGGGAATATCATATTCAAACTACAGGAAATTAAATCTGAGGAAAACATATTGGAAGTATTCAGAGAGAGAAAAAAAAGACATCTTACCTATAGAAAAGCAATGGCGAATATTATATCTGATGTCTCCTCAGAAACCATGCAAGTAAGAATAGAGTGGAGTAAAATACTTAAAATGTTAAGAGAAGAAAAACACCAACCTAGAATTCTATATCTTGTGAATGTATCCTTCAAAAGGAAAGGAGAACTAAAGACTTTCTCAGATAAAAATTGAGGAAATTTGTTGCCAGTTAGTTGATATTGCAAGATATATTAAAAGAAATTTATCAGCGAGAAGGAAAATAATATCAATGAGAACCTTGAATATAAATAAAAGAAGCACTTCAGTGAAAGAATAAGTGAAGGTAAAATAAACACTTTTTAAAATCTCTTAATTGCTATAACAGACAATTTGTTCAAAACAATAATAACAATATATTCTGTTTTGTATGCTTATGTATAATCCATTCACAGTACATGAATTAGTTGTAAATTTATATGGCAAACTGTAAGGCAACCAAAAAATGTTTGTTTTGTTTTAAAGAGTATAACTGATGTGCTAAGAAAAGAGGGGAAATTAAATTTTATAAAAATTCAAAACCACGAAAGGGAGAAAAAGAGTGGAAAACAAAAATAAGAACAACGAACAAAGGCAATTAATAGAACACAATAACATACATGGTAGATATTAAATAAACCGCCTTAGCTTAGGCTGACCCAACAAAATACCATACGCTGGGTAGCTTAGACACCAGAAATGGCAGAAACTTTAAGTTTAGGGTACCAGGTTTGTTGGATTCAACTGTAGACTCTCTTCCTGGCTTGCACATGTCCGCCTTCTCACTGTTTCCTCACATGGCAGAGAAAGAGAGAGAGATTTCTCTCTCTTCCTAGGCTTATAAGACCAAGGTCCTGTCAGATAAGAGCTCTACCCTCATGACCTCGTTTAAGTTTAATTACCTATTAAGAAAACTCATCTCCAGATACAGTCACATTGAAGGTTAACATCATGATCATAGATACAAACATTCATTCAAAATATAAATTTTGGGAGGATACAATTCGGTTCATAACACTAACTGTATCAATAACCACTTTAAATAGCAACGGTGTAAACACCAATTAAAAGGTAGACATTGTCAGAATGGAGGGAAAAACAAGACCCAATAATACAGTCTATACAAAAAACCCAGTATAAATATTAAGACATATTAATTAAACATAATAGAAGGAGAAAAATATGCCATGCTATTCACTAGTCGAAAGAAAGCAGTGGAGGCTATATTCATTTCAGACAGAGAATATTTCTGGGCAAAGTTATCAGGATAAAAAAGGACTTTCATAATGATACAGGGGTCAGTTCACAAAAACATAAAAATTGTCAATGTGTATGTACTTAATAACAGAGCATCAATATGCATGAGGCAAAAACTGAGAAAGGCAAGGAGAAATAGATGAATCCACTATTACAGTTGAAGACTTCAACAACCTTTATCAGAAATAGACAGATTCTGCAGGCAGAAAATCTGTAAGAACACAAATAAACTCAATTATAGCAATCGAGTATTATTCACATCTATTGACTACTTCATCTACCGGCAAGAGAATACCATTTCTTCCCAAGTTCACATGGAACATTCACCAATATTGACCATATTCTGGGCCATAAAATGCATCTTAACAAATGTAATAGATTAAAATTCATAAAGTATCTTCTCCCAGACCACATTGAATGAAACTAGAAGTCAATAACGAAAAGATAGTTAGAAAATTGCAAAATATTTGGAGATTAAACGACATACATGTACAAAGTACGAGTCAAAGAAAAAAATCAAAAGAAATGAAAAAAAATTGAACAAAATAAAAATGAAAATACAACTTATCAAAATTTGTGGGATGCTGTGAAAGCAGTGCTTAGAAGAAAATTTATAGCATTGAATGCATAATTAGAAAAAAGAAATATCTAAAATTAATAATATAAACAACCTTATGAAACAACAAAAATAAGAGCAGATTAATTTCATAGTAGCCAGAATAAAAGAACTAATAAAAATTAAGAAGTACATAAATTGAAAACAGGAAATTAATAGAGAAAAATTAACAAAAGCAGAAGCCAATTCTTTGAAAAAGTCAATAAATATCAATAGGCCTCTAGCCAGGCTAACTAATAAAAAAGAGAGAAAACACAAATTACTAATTACAGAAGTGAAAGAGAGGATATTACTAGAAACCATTCAGATCAGATATAAAAATAATAATAAAGGTATATTATGAACAACTCTATGTCCACCTAGATTTGATAACCTAGAGAATCGGACCAAATCTTTGAAAGACACAATCTGCCAAAACTCACACAAGAAGGAATAATAAATTTGAATAGACCTACATATGTGTTAAAGAAATTGAATCAATGATTAACAATCTTTCAAAATGGAAATCACTGGACCAGATAGGTTCATTGGTGAACTATACCAAATTTAAGGAATAAATTATATCAGTTCTCTACAATTTCTTCCAGAACATAGAATAAGAGAGGATACTCTCTGACTCAATGAGGCAGTCTTTACATTCATACCAAAACCAGACAAATATATTAGAAGAAATAAAAACTACAACACATATTTCTCATGCACATAGGTGCAAAAATCCTCAAGAAAATATTAACAAATCCAACAATGTATAAAATAATTATACACAATGTTCAGGTGTGATTTATTCTAGCTATACAAGGCTGGTTCAATATTTGAAAGTCAAGTAATGCCATCATATCATCAAGCTAAAGAAGAAAGAGTACATGATCAAATCAATAGACAACAGAAAAAGCATTTGACAAAATCCAATACCCATTCATGACAAAAACTATCAGCAAATTATGTGTGTTTCTTTACATCTACAAAAATGCCTACAGCTAACATCATACTTAATGATAAAAATCTACCTAATGACAAGAAACTAGAAGTTTCCCTGCTAAGTTCATGAATAGAGTAAGTATTTCCCCTTTCACTACTCTTTTTCAACATTGTACTGGAAGTCCTCCCCAATGCAGTAAAACAATAAAGGGAAATAAAAGTATATTGGTCAGGAAAAATGAAACAAAACCGTCTTTGTTTGCAGATAACAGGATTGTGCAGAAAACCTGAAATATTTGACCAAAAAAACCCAAAGTAAAACAAAACAAGACCAGAAACGCCTGGAACTATAGGTTGGTGAAAAGGTTATTTCAGCTTTTGGCGTTACTTCCAATGGCAAAAATCGCAAGAACCTTTGCACCCACCTAATAATAAGCAATTATAGCAAAGGTTGCAGGATACAAGGTTAACAAGAAAAGTCAACCACTTTCTTATATACTAGCAATGCACAACTGGAATTTGCATTTAAACACACTTTACAATTTGCATTACCAGTCCTCAAAATAAAATATTTAGGTATGTATCTAAAATATGTACAAGATCTATATGAGGAAAACTACTAAACTCTGATGTAAGAAATCAACAGAAAACTAAATAAAGGGAGAGATACTCCATGCTTATAGATAGTAAAACTAAATATCATCAAGATACCAATTCCTTGCAACTTGATCTATAAATTTAACACAATTCCAAACAAAATCCAAGTAAGTTATTTCTGTAGATATAGTTGAGCTAATTCAAAAGTTTATATGGAGAGGCAAATAACAAATTTAATTAATTCAGTTTTGAAGGATAAGAAATTCAAGTAACTGACATTATTAATCTTCAAAAGTCAGTGAAAATCTGCATTAATCAAGATAGTCTGGTATTAGAATAAACATCTAAAAATAATTCAGTGAAGCAGAATAGAGAATCCAGAAATAGGACCACATAAAAATAGTCAACTGATCTTTGAGAAAAGCATAAAGGCAATACAAGAGAGCAAAGATTGTCTTTTTTTTTTAATGTTATCAGAAAAGCTAGACATCCCCATGCAAAAAAAAAAAAATCAATTTACATGTAAACCTCAAACCATTCATAAGGAGAGATGCAAAATGCACTGCAGACCTAAATGCTAAATGCAAAACTATAAAACTCCTAGAAGATAGCAAAGAAAAAATATAGATGACCTTGGGTATGGTGATGGAGCCAACACCAAAGAAATGATTCATGAAAGAAATAATAGATATGTTGGGCTCTATTTAAATTAAAAACTTTTGCTTTGTGAAAGATGCTGTAAAAAGAAGAAGACAAACCAAAGACTGAGGGAAAAATATTTGTAAAAGACATAAAATAGTCAACTGTTATCCAAAATATAAGGAGTTTTTAAAATCACCAATAAATAATGAACAACTCGATTAAAAATGGGCAAAAGACCTGAACAGACACCTCACAAAAGATGATGTACAGATGATGGCAAATAGCATATAAAAATATACTCGATATCATGTGTTATTAGAGAAATATAAATTAAAACAACAATGAGATACCACTACCTATTTATTAGAGTGGTCTGAACTCAAAACACTGACAGTGCCAAATACTGGAAAGGATGTAGAGCAACAAGAACTCTCATTTATTATTGGAATTGGAAAATGGTGCAGTCATGTTGGAAGACAGTTTGGTAGTTGCTTACAAATTAAATATAGCCTTGCTATACAATCCAGCAATCATGCTCTTTGGTATTCACCCAAATGAATTAAAACCTTTTTTTCATTAAAAAAAAAACTACACACAAATGCATTATAGCAGCCTAATGAACAATTACTAAAACTTGGAAGCAGCCAAGGTATCTTTAGTTAGTGAATTGGTAAACTATGGTACATCCAGACAACAGAATATTATTCAGCAATAAAAAGATAGAAGCTACCAAGTCATGAGAAAACATGGAGAAACTTTATATGCTTGTAACCAAGTGAAAGAAGCAATCTGAAAAGGCTATATACTGTACAATTCCAACTGTATGACGTTCTCAAAAGGGGAAAACTACGGATACCGTAAAAGAGTAAGTGGTTTCCAGGGGCTAGGATGAGGAAGGGCTAAATAGCAGGAGTACAGACAGCTTTTAGGATAGTGAAACTGCTCCGTATGATACTATCATGATGGATACATGTCATCATACATTTGTCAAAGCCCATAGATTGTACAAAACCAAGAGTGAACCCTGACGTAAACTCTGGAATTTGAGTGATAATAATGTGTCAATGTAGGTATACGATTGTAACAAATGTACCATTCTGGTTAAGGATATTGGTAGTGGGGTGGCTGGGGCTGTGGGGAAAGAGGTATATGGGGAATCTCTGTGCCTTTCGCCCTCAATGTTTTGTGAGCCTAAAAACTACTCTAAACGTTAGGTCTAATTAAAATAGATTACATCCATTATCAAAATGTAAACTCAATATGTTTTTAAAATCACGAAGTAAGAAGATCATACTCTATGATCAAAATGCAACAAAGTTAGAAATCAACGTTAAAACACATTTAAACCCAATTACTTACAAAGCTAAACAACAACAAAAAACTTCTCCCCAAACTACAATTAAGATAAAATAATATTTAAAGGCAGTGAATCTGTAAGTTAAATCTATGTATAAAATGATTCCACATAGCAAGCTTAAATATGGCCAACAAAAGAAAGAAAAATTTACAACCATCAATGTTTGTATTATTAAATAAGAAAGAACAGAAGTAAATTAGCTTAATATTCAACTCAAACAATTTTGATAAAAAATAACTTAGGCAACGAATTAGAAAAAAACAGTAATGTTGACAAATACATCTTGGATTACTGGACATAATAATTTGAAATTGCTAATACCTTATACAGACATTTGAAATAAAAAATCAAGACAGAGTGAACCTGCGATATAATAAGAGTAATAATATTAAAGTACTATGATAGGCCCTACACAAACACTATCAGTACATGCTCACTTTATAACTTAATAGTTGATAAGATTATCCTCATTTTGTAGAGGAGGCAAATAAAAAGGTTACATAATTTTATAGGGATCACACAGTTTTATAAGAGACAGAGCCAGTGATTCTAAATTCATTGACTACAGAGCTCATACCCTCAACTCTATTACAATAATTATCCTCAGTTATAGCAATGAGTGTTATGATGTGCATTTGAAAATCTCAATTCAATTGACCAATTTCTGATAAAATTACTAACCCTCTCCTACATTCAAAAGCTACTCAAAATAATAATCATGGTAAAAGCTAAAAAGGGTCCGTCCGGGCGCGGGGTGGCTCATGCCTGTAATCCCAGCACTTTGGGAGGCCGAGGCAGGCGGATCACAAGGTCAGGAGACCGAGACCATCCTGGCTAACTCGGTGAAACCCCGTCTCTACTAAAAGTACAAAAAATTAGCCGGGCGTGGTGGTGGGCACCTGTAGTCCCAGCTACCCGGGAGGCTGAGGCAGGAGAATGGTGTGGAACCCGGGAGGCGGAGCTTGCAGTGAGCCGAGATCGCGCCACCGCACTCCAGCCTGGGCCACAGTGGAAGGCTCCGTCTCAAAAATAAAAAAAAATAAAAATAAAAAAATAAAGCTAAAAAGGGGAAAAAAGCCAAAAGAATAATTTTCCAAAATGCTTCATGGTATGTGGCTTAAGAGGTTCATTCTTTCAAATGTCAGACATGAGATCATTTTCATCCTTTTATCCCTGCCTGCCTGTAAACATTGAAATAAAGGACATGATTTGATTTGTTTCCTAAATTTAGATTAATTTTTATTTACACAAGTGGATTGAAAAATATAAAATATTCAAATTTCACAGAAAAAAGTCCTACTTTACCCCCACCACATTACCTTAAATATTCCTCCTAAGGTACCCTGTTACTCTAAAGAAATTTGCTAGAGAAATTTGCTCTTTTTGTTGTGTACATAAACTTGCTGATAATTATACTGTGCATTTACATGCATTAACTAGTAGAAAATATAGCATTGTTTTATGTATGTATTTGTTTTTTATTCTTTTTTTATTATACTTTAAGTTTTAGGGCACATGTGCACGACATGCAGTTTAGTTACATATGTATACATGTGCCATGTTGGTGTGCTGCACCCATTAACTCGTCATTTAACATTAGGCATATCTCCTAATGCTATCCCTCCCCCCTCCCCCCACCCCACAACAGGCCCGGGTGTGTGATGTTCCCCTTCCTGTGTCCATGTGTTCTCATTGTTCAATTCCCACCTATGAGTGAGAACATGCGGTGTTTGGTTTTTTTGTCCTTGTGATGGTTTGTTGAGAATGATGGTTTCCAGCTTCATCCATGTCCCTACAAAGGACATGAACTCATCATTTATTATGGCTGCATAGTATTCCATGGTGTATATGTGCCACATTTTCTTAATCCAGTCTATCATAGTTGGACATCTGGGTTGGTTCCAAGTCTTTGCTATGGTGAATAGTGCCGCAATAAACATACATGTGCATGTGTCTTTATAGCAGCATGATTTATAATCCTTTGGGTATATACCCAGTAATGGGATGGCTGGGTCGAGTGGAATTTCTAGTTCTAGATCCCTGAGGAATCGCTACACTGACTTCCACAATGATTGAACTAGTTTACAGTCCCACCAGCAGTGTAAAAGTGTTCCTATTTCTCCACATCCTCTCCAGCACCTGTTGTTTCCTGACTTTTGCATGATCGCCATTCTAACTGGTGTGAGATGATATCTCATTGTGGTTTTGATTTGCATTTCTCTGATGGCCAGTGATGATGAGCATTTTTCATGTGTCTGTTGGCTGCATAAATGTCTTCTTTTGAGAAGTGTCTGTTCATATCCTTTGCCCACTTTTTGATGGGGTTGTTTGTTTTTTTCTTGTAAATTTGTTTGAGCTCTTTGTAGATTCTGGATATTAGCCCTTTGTCAGATGAGTAGGTTGCAAAAATTTTCTCCCATTCTGTAGGTTGCCTGTTCACTCTGATGGTAGTTTCTTTTGCTGTGCAGAAGCTCTTTAGTTTAATTAGATCCCATTTGTCAATTTTGGCTTTTGTTGCCATTGCTTTTGGTGTTTTAGACATGAAGTCCTTGCCCATGCCTGTGTCCTGAATGGTATTGCCTAGGTTTTCTTCTAGGGTTTTTATGGTTTTACATCTAACATTTAAGTCTTTAATCCATCTTGAATTAATTTTTGTATAAGGTGTAAGGAAGGGATCCAGTTTCAGCTTTCTACATATGGCTAGCCAATTTCCCAGCACCATTTATTAAATAGGGAATTGTTTCCCCATTTCTTGTTTTTGTCAGGTTTGTCAAAGATCAGATCGTTGTAGATATGTGGCATTATTTCTGAGGGCTCTGTTCTATTCCATTGGTCTATATCTCTGTTTTGGTTCCAGTACCATGCTGTTTTGGTTACTGTAGCCTTGTAGTATAGTTTGAAGTCAGGTAGCGTGATGCCTCCAGCTTTGTTCTTTTGGCTTAGGATTGACTGGGCAATGCGGGCTCTTTTTTAGTTCCATATGAACTTTAAAGTAGTTTTTTCCAATTCTGTGAAGAAAGTCATTGGTAGTTTGATGGGGATGGTATTGAATCTATAAATTACCTTGGGCAGTATGGCCGTGTTCTTCCATTTGTTTCTATCCTCTTTTATTTCATTGAGCAGTGGTTTGTAGTTCTCCTTGAAGAGGTCCTTCACTTCCCTTGTAAGTTGGATTCCTAGCTATTTTATTCTCTTTGAAGCAATTGTGAATGGGAGTTCACTCATGATTTGGCTCTCTGTTTGTCTGTTATTGGTGTATAAGAATGCTTGTGATTTTTGCACATTGATTTTGTATCCTGAGACTTGGCTGAAGTTGCCTATCAGCTTAAGGAGATTTTGGGCTGAGACGGTGGGGTTTTCTAGATATACAATATGTCATCTGCAAACAGGGACAATTTGACTTTCTGTTTTCCTCATCACGTTATGTGATTATTCAGTTTGCTAGTGTCAATTACAACGTCATTGAGAACTTTCCATTTCATGGAATATCTACTTTGTTTTATATTTTAACTGCTGCAACATATTTTATAGCCTGGACTATACTAGAGGTTATCTATCAGTTCACATGGCAATGGGTGTTTGAATTCTTTCTATTATTTTTTTGCTTTATATAACTTTTATGATACTTTCACTTTAAACAGGTTAAAAAATGTATGCATATAAAGATAAATTTTAATTTTATCATATTTTTTGTTTTTGTTTTTGTTTTTTGTTTTTACTTTTTCCTTTTCCTTTTATTATTTTTTAGTATTTCAATAGCTTTTGGGGTACAAGTAGTGTTTGGTTGCATGGATGAGTTCTAGAGTGGTAAAGTCTAAGATTTTAGTACACCCATTAAGTCTGAGATTTTAGTGCACTCAACACCCTACACCTATTGGGTACATCACGTTGTACCCAATATGTAGATTTTATCCCTCACTTTCCTCCCACCCTTCCCCTTCTGAATCTCCAAAGTAATTATACCTCTTTGTATGTCTTTGCATCCTCACAGCTTAGCTCCTGCTTATAAATGACTGCATTAGGTATTTGCTTTTCCATTCCCGAGTTACTTCACTTAGAATAATGGCCTCCAGCCCCATGCAAGTTGCTGCAAAATACATTATTTTGTTACATTTTATGGCTGAGTAGTAGTTCATGGTGTATATATATCACAAAATTTTCATCCACTCCTTGGTCAATGGGTGCTTAAGTGGGTTCCATATATTTACAGTTGTGATTTGTGCTACTGTAAACATACATGTGCCTGTGTCTTTTTCATATAACAACTTCTTTTTCTTTGGGTAAATACTCAGCAGTGGGATTCCTGGAATGAATGGTAGATCTACTATTAGCTCTTTAAGGAATCTCCATACTGTTTTCCATAGAGGTTGTACTACTTTACATTCCCACCAGCAGTGAAAATGCATCCCTTTTCACCAAATCTATGCCGACATCTGTTGTTTTTTGACTTTTTAAGTATGGCTATTTTTGCAGGACTAAAGTAGTATCTCATTGTGGTTTTAATTTGCATTTCCCTGATGATTAGTGGTGTTGAGCTTCCTTTCATGTATTTCTTGGCCATTTGTGTGTCTTCTTTCCAGAAATGTCTATTCATGTCCTTTGCCCACTCTTTGATAGAATTATTTTATTTTTCTTCCTGATTTATTTGAATTTCTTGTAGATTATAGATGCTAGTCCTTTCTCAGATGCATAGTGTGCAAATATGTTCTCTCATTCTGTGCCTTGTCTGTTTACTCTCCTATTTCTTTTGCTGTGCAGTACCTTTTTAGTTTAATTAGGTCCTACTTATTTATTTTTGTTTTTCTTGGATTTACATTTGTGGTCTTAGTCATGAATTATTTGCCTAGGCCAATGTTCAGAACAGTTTTTCCAATGTTATCTTCTAGAATTTCCATGGTTTCAGGTCTTAGATTTAAGTCTTTGATCCATCTTGAATTGTCTGTTTATAAGGTGAGAGATGATGATTCTAATATTTCAAAATCTTAATGTATTATTCATCTATATGTTTTAATAATTTTAATTTTATTACTATTTTAAAATTTCAACTTTTATTTTAGATTCGGGGGTACATATGCAGGTTTGTTACATGGGTATACCTTGTGATGCTGAGTTTTGGGGTACAACTGATCCTGTAACTCAGGTAAACATTCACATATATATGTGTGTGTGTGTGTGTGTGTGTGTGTGTGTATGTGTGTGTATACATAAATAAACAAGCAAATGAATAAATAAATAGTGTAATACGGACATGCCACATGCCAGTTTAACATCACCAGACAGGAATTTGAGAAGTAAAAAGACTGTATCATAGTATGCAACATTTACACTTATATTGTCTTCCAATATATCAATACTAATTTGCAGCATTATTTTAGATGAGAACCCAATTCTCTTTACTTGGTCAATACTTAACATTTGTACTTAAAAAAATCATTCTGACAGATGAAAAATTGAATTTTACTGTTTTTGTTTGCTTACTTGTTTGCTTTTCACTGTGTACTTCTTGGATTACCAGTAAGATTCACCATGTTTTAATTATTCATTTGTATTAGCTTTGGAAAATTGTCTACTCAAATACTTTGTCATTTTTTTCTATTTAATACTTAAATTTTTCTTATCCTTTTTTTGTAAAATTTATGCATTGTAAATGTTAATTCTCATATTTATATGTGTTGAAAATATTTTCTTGTGATTTTAAAAATTTGCTTATGCTGTTTTTGTCATGTAGAATGCACTTAATCTTGACATAAGAAATTAAACAGTATTGATTTTCACAGGTTTTGCTTTTTGAGTCCCGCTTAAGAAAGCTTCGGCATCCAAGATTATGAATATATTCTCCATATTTTCTCAAAATTCTAATTCTATTTAATAAAACGTAACTTTCTTTTTGTATTAAATATTTTATCCATCTGAAATTAACATTAATCAATGATGTAAAGAAAGAAATATTTTTTAAAATAGATAACAAATTGCCTCAACTATTTTACTACTTACTAATTTTCTCTGCTAATGTTAAATGCTACTTTATCTTAAACTAAAACCCTACATACATCTGAATCACTTTATATCTAATGTTCTGTGAAATTCAATTGCCCATGTCTGTTTTTCTCTTCTTAAAAAATTACTACAGTGTTTTACTTACTTTAAGTTTATTATATGTTTTGAGACCTGGGAAGGTGTATTCCTCTCCTCCACTTCGTCTTTCTCAAAATTGGCCTAACTCTTTTTAAAACTATATATTTTTAGGTGTGGGAAAAAAAACACATAATATTTACCATGTGAATCACTTTCAAGTGTATAATTGATTAGTGTTATCTACATGGACCTTATTGTGCAACCGATCTCCAGAATTTCTTCATCTTGCAAATCTGAAACTTTATACCCAAGAAAGAACTCCCTTTTTCCCCCAGCCCAAGCTCCTCTGTTTCTATTTTTACTACTTTCGATACCTCATGTAAGAGGAATCATACAGCATTTGTCTGGCTTATTTCACTTTGTATAATGTCCTCAAGGTTCATCCTCATTGTGGCATATGGCAGAATATCTCTTTCTTTTTTTATTTTTAAATTTTCAGTTTTTGTGGTTACATAGTAGGTTTATCTATTTCTGGGATGCATGAGATAAACTGCTTTTCAGGATTACTTATAGACATAGTGGCCCTTAGTGGCAAGATTTGTGGGAATTCAAGTTCATATCCCTGTTGGCAGTTCTCCTTTTGCTAGGGCTAATTTAAGTGTTCCCTCAGTGGGTGGGTGTCAGCTGAGTTTGGTCCAGTTTTCTTTTCTGCTCTAACAGGACAGCAGGAAGTTGAAATTCAATACCTCACAGTTTCAGTGTTCTCCCTCCCCCAGTGCCCAGAGACCGTCTCTGCACCATGCCGCAGCTGCCAGGGAGTGGAGGAGACATTAAATCTGACACTGCAGAATTTCAAAGGATCATTAGGGATTACTATTAGCAACTATATGCCGATAAACTGGAAAACACAGAAGAAATTGACACATTCCTGGACACATACAATATAACAAGATTGAACCATGAAAAATCCAAAACCTGAGCAGACCAACAACACATAAGAAGAGCAAAATTGTTATAGAAAATCTCCCAGTAAAAAAAAGCCCAGGACCTGAAGGCTTCACTTCTGAGTTCTACCAAATCCTACTCAGACTATTTCAAAAAATAAAGGAAAAGTGAATACTTCCCAATTCGTTCTAGGAGGCAAGTATTAACCTGATGTGAAAACCAGACAAAGACACACTAAAAATAGGAAACTACAGGCCAATATCTCTCATGGTTATTGATGAAAATATCCTCAGCAACATACTAGCAGATCAAATTTAACAACACATTAAAAATGTCATTTATCTTCACCAAGTGGGATTTATCTTTGGGATGACAGGTTGGCCCAAAATATGCAAATCAACCAATGCAATGCATCATATCAACAGAAGGATGAAACAAAACAATATGATAATTTCAATTGATGCTTACAAATGTTTGATACAATTTAGCATCCTTTTACAATAAAAATCCTCAAAAAATTGGGTATGGGAAAACATATTTCAAGTTAATAAATGTCATCTATGACAGACCCACAACTAGTATCATACTAAGATCTGGAACACAACAAGGATGCCCAATGTCACCACCATTATTCAACATACTACTGGAAGTTGTAGTATAGCAATCAGACAACAGAAGAATATAAAGGACATAAAATTGGAAAAGAAGAAGTCAATTCTTGTTTGCAAATTATATAATTGTGATGACTAATATTAAGTGTTAACTTGATTGGATTCAAGGATGCAAAGTATTGTTTCTGGGTGTGTCTGTGAGGGTGTTGCCAGAGATTAACATTTGAGTCAGTGGACTGGGAGAAGCAGACACACCCTCAATCTGTGTGGGCACTCTCCAGTCGGCTGCCAGCACAGCTAGAAAAAGCAAGCAGAAGAAGGTGGAATGAGCAGATTAGCTGAGTCTTCCAGCCTTTATCTTTCTCCCTTGCTGGATGCTTCCTGCCCTGGAAACTCAGACTCCACTTTCTTCGGCTTTCGGACTCTTGGACTTACACCAGTGGTTTGCCAGGGACTCTTGGGCCTTTGGCCACAGACTGAAGGCTGCACTGTCAGCTTCCCTACTTTTGAGGTTTGGGGACTGAGCCAATACTCGTTTCTTTGCTCCTCAGCTTGCAGACGGCCTATTGTGGGACTTCAACTTGTTATCCTGCGAGTTAATTCTCCTTAATAAACTCCCTTTCATATATACATATATCCTATTAGTTGTCTCCCTCTAGAGAACCCTGACTAATATAATGATCTTATATTTGGAAAAACCTACACTCCACCAAAAAAAAATTAGAAATGATAACAAATTTAGTAGTTTCAGGATAGAAAATCAACCTACAAAAATCAGTAGTATTTCTATATGCCAACAATCTGAAAGAGAAATAAAATAGTAATCCCTTTTACAATAACCACACATAAAATTAAATACCTAGAAATTAACTAGATCTCTATAATAAAAACTATAAAACACGGATGAAAGAAAATAAAGAGTACACTAAAAAATGGAAAATATTCCCTGTACATGGATTGGAAGAATCAATATTGTTAAAATGTCCATACTATCTAAAGCAATCTACAGATTCAATTCAATGCCTATCAAAACTTCAATGACATTCTTCACAGAAAGAGAAAAAAACTCTCCTAAAATTTATATGGAACCACGAAAGATCCAGAATACACAAAACTAACCTGAGAAAAATGAACAAAACTGGAGGAATTGCATTACCTGATTTCAAATTATACTACAGAGCTATGGTAACCAAAATAGCATGGTACTGGCATAGAAACAGACACATAGACCAATGGAACAGAGTAGAAAACCTGGAAACAAATTCACACACCTACAGTGAACTCATTTTTGACAAAGGTGCCAAGAATATACACCGTGGGAAAGACAGTTTCTTCAATAAATGGTGCTAGGAAAACTGTATATCTATATGCAGAAGAATAAAACTAGACCCCTCTCTCTCACCATATACAAAAATCACGTCAAGGCTGGGTGCAGTGGCTCATGCCCAT
Organism: Homo sapiens; assembly: GCF_000001405.40. NCBI lineage: Eukaryota > Metazoa > Chordata > Mammalia > Primates > Hominidae > Homo > Homo sapiens. The sequence goes on from NW_025791819.1 coordinate 222,083, forward strand.
AATCCCAGCAGTTTGGGAGGCCGAGGCAGGCGGATCACGAGGTCAGGAGATCGAGATCATCCTGGCCAACATGGTGAAACCCCGTCTCTACTAAAAATACAAAAAACTAGCCAGGCGTGGTGGCGGGCACCTGGAGTCCCAGCTGCTCGGGAGGCTGAGGCAGGAGAATGGCGTGAACCTGGGAGGCGGAGGTTGCAGTGAGCTGAGACCGTGCCACTGCACTCCAGCCTGGGCGACAGAGCAAGACTCTGTCTCCAAAAAAAAAAAAAAAAAAAAAAAAAAATTCACATCAAAATGGATTAAAGACTTAAGTCTAAGGCCTCAAATTATGAAAACTACTGCAAGAAAACATTGACAAAAATCTCCAGAACATTAGTCTGGGCAAAAATTTCTTGAGTAATACCACGCAGGCACAGGCAACCAAAGCAAAAATGAATAAACGGGATCACATTAAGTTAAAAAGCTCCTGGACAGCAATGGAAACAATCAACAAATTGAAGAGACAAACCACAGAATGAGAGAGAATATCTGCAAACTACCCACCTGGCAAGGGATTAATAACCAGAAAATATAAGGAGCTCAAACAACTCTATAAGAAACATATAATAATCTGATTTAAAAAATAGACAAAATATCTGAACAGACATTCACAAAAGAAAACATACAAATGGCAAAATGGCATATAAAAAGATGCTCAGCATCACTGGTCATCAGAGAAATGCAAATCAAAACTACAATGAGATATAATCTCACCCCATTTAGAATGACTTACATCTAAAAGTCGGGCAATAACAAACACTGACAAGGGTGTGGAGAAAATAGAGCCCTTGTACACAGTTGCTGGGAATGTAAATTACTACAACCACTATGGAGAATAGTCTGGAGGTCCCTCAAAATGATAAAAATTCAGCTACTGTATGATCTAGCAATCCCAATGCGGGGCATATACCCAGAAGAAAGGAAATCAGTACATTGAGGATATATCTGCACTCCTGTGTTTGTTACAGCACTGTTTACAATAGCTAAGGTTGGAAAGCAACCTAAATGCCCATCAACAGATGACTAGATAAAGAAAATGTGGTACGTATACACAATGTAGTACTATTCAGCCATTAAAAAAGACTGATATTCTGTTATTTCCAACAACATGGATGGAATAGGAGGTCATTATATTAAGTAAAATAAACCAGGCACAGAAAGACAAACATCACATGTTCTGACTTATTTGCTGGATGTAAATATCAAAACCATTAAAGTCATGGAGATAGAGAGCAGAAACAGGGTGACCATAAGCTGGGAAGGGTAGTGTGCAGTGGGGGGATGTGGAGATGGTTAATGGGTATAAAAAATAGTAAGAATGAATAAGGCCTACTATCTGATTGCACAACAGGTTGACTATAGTCAATAATAATTTAACTGTACATTTTAAAATAAAGAGCGTAATTAGATTGTAACAGAAAGATTAAATGCTTGAGGGATGGATATCCCATTTTACATGATGTGATTATTATACATTGCATGCCTGTATCAAAACATCTCATGTACCACATAGATACATACATCTGTTATGTACCCACAAAAATCAAAATAAAAATTTCAAAAATAATTAACTCAAGGAGAGGTTATAACTTTACCATAACAGCATTCCAAATCCAGGAACAAATGTATTTCTCTTCACTCCCTGCTGTATTCATTTATGTTTTTCGGTAAAGTTTTATAGTTATCTCTTTAAAGGTATTGCATTATCTTATTTCTTAGATTTTACATTTTTATCTTTATGAATACAAATGTTAAATATTAAGTTCTATAGACTTTTAATCTGTTGATGATTATGCATGGGAAATAGACAGAAAGATATAGCTGTATATCTCTCTAGCCAATTGAAAATTAATTCTCTCAATAAGGTTAATAAGATTCATTTATATTATGATGTGTAACTGTCGTTAACTTATTGAATCTTCTGTATAAAATGCTGTGTTTGAATATGGCCACTTATTTCTCCACTCTTCTGTCATTGGGCAGTTTGGATGTTTCCCTTTTTTTCTCTTAAGAATAGTTGTGCTATAAACCATCCTGCTCATATCTTACAGTCTACAACTATAAACTTTTATCTTGAAAGTACACCTAGAAATGAAATTGCTTGGAATCAGAATGGGTGAATGTTCATCTTTTCAAGTTATTGGCAAGCAATTTCCAGAAGTGGCTTTATCAGTTTACACTGCCACCAGCGCTGGAAGCACTCTGGTAGATCCAAATCCTTCTAAATTGGACATCATTAGTTTATTACTGAATGATCAATTTTCTGTAACTATATCATCTGTGCTTGAAAAGAATTTTCATTTTTTATTTTGAGCATGTGGAGTTATCACTCTGTCTTTGTCTCTGTTTCACTATGTGTATTTGTGTGTGTACGTGTATATGAGGTCGAGTTTATCAAATGTTCAAATAATTTTGATCATTACTTTGTTTTATGGTCCAGTTTAACTTACCCCACCTTCATTGCTAAGTAAGTTTCTTTCTTTGCCTAGTTTGCTAAAAGTTCTTTTTTTATAAATTTTTTATTGGGGTTGCATATTATCAAGTGCTTGTTATTTGGCTATCTTTTGAAATGATCAAATACATTTATTCCTGTAAGTGATTAATAGAATAGATTTAATTTTAATAAAGTAAATAAAATTACATTTTATAATATTAAAATATTATTTGGTGTTTTCTCTAGGAGCTAAATGATGAGAACACATGGACACATAGAAGGAAACAACACACACTGGGGCCTCTCAGAGGGTAGGGGTGGGAGGAGGGAGAAGATCAGGAAAAATAAGTAATAGTTACTAGGCTTAAAACTTGGGTGATGAAATAATCTGTACAACAAACCCCCATGACACAAGTTTACCTATGTAACAAACCTGCCCCTGTAGCCCTGAACTTAAAATAAAAGTTAAAAAAACACTTTGCATTATGAGATGTTTCTTACTTGGTTATGACGTTGAGACCTAAAAATAGAACTCTAAGTCCCCCAACTGACTTAAAGGACCTTCTCTTGGCCGAGGTGTCCCCAAAAAAACCTTAAAAAGTGAGTTTCAGGCTCTGATGGAATGGAAGCTCAGACACACCTCATTATAACCCTTCCTTCTTGCGGTTTAGACACAACAACTGATCAGCAATAATGATGGAGATCAGAAGACTGACAGAATGAACTGTTTGTGGCAATTAGATATTAAATTATAAATTAGGCATAAAAGCATGCCAGGTAAGAGTTAAGTCATGCATTTCTACACTTGAAGAATAAACTGTCTTCCGACTGACACAAGGTTTTCTTTTTCTGTGACAGCTACACAAACACTGGCCTTGAGATAAGCAGTATTAAAATAATTGCACATCATTTACGGTCACATGCTGACTGACTGACTCCCTGTTTCACAAGCCATAACTACAGCTTTGATTGGATAAGCGATTGAGTTCAGTAATTTTCTTCAGGTAAGAAACTATGGACCACAGACCGGTTCTGGCCAGTTTGGAGATGCTGCACACTTGATTGCCTTTGTGTCGCTGCTCCACTTTTGGATGTATAGAACTTAACTGCAATGTATTTAAATATTAAGTCTCCACCCCAAGGTGAACATGGGACACATTCACCTTTATGAATATTCATAGCTCCTTCTATAACCTGTTGAATATGTATAATTGGCCAACCTGTTCAGCATAAATCCCTGTTCCACCTTCCCCTTTCTTGAAATGCGTGCCTTTCAGGCTTTACTAGATGCTGCACTTCCCAGCCTGTGGGATGACAAACCTTTCGTTAATAAACTTTTATAAGAAATAAAGTGTTTCACTGAGTGTGGTGGCTCATGTCTATAATCCCAGCACTATGGGAGGCGAAGGCAGGCAGACTGCTTGAGTCCATGAGGCAATGGTTGCAGTGAGCCATGATTGGGCCACTGCACTCTATCTAGCAGGATGACAGAGTGAGACTCTGCCTCAAAAAAAAAAAAAAAAAAAAAAAAAAAAAAAAAAGAAAGTCTTCCTTCCAAATATACAGATGTCAAGATTTTTCAGTTGCAATGTATTTTTTAATACATTGCTGAATTCAGCTTGTTATGCCTTATTTTGGATTTGCTTTTCCTTTTAAGCTAATGAGTTTGGCCTATAGCTACCTGTTCATGTGCTGTTCTTTTTATAGGTCTAATACCAAGATTATACTAGTCTCAAAACATGAGTTGAGTAGTCTCACATATTGTTCTTATGCTCTGAAATGGTTTGTAGAAAATGATTTTGTTGTTGTTGTTGTTTTAATGATTGGTAGAAATCTGTCTCGCACCTATAGGTCCAGCTAATCAGGAGGCTCAGGCTGGAAAATTGCTTGAGCCTGGGAAGCAAAGGTTGCAGAGAGTTGAGATCGTGCCACTGCCAGCCTGGGCGACAGAGTGAGACCCAGTCTATTTAAAAAAAAAGGGGGGGGGAGGGGGAGGGGCGGGTGTGGTGGCTCACGCCTGTAATCCCAGAACTTTGGGAGGCTGAGGCAGGTGGATCACGGGGTCAGGAGTTCAAGAACAGCCTGGCCAAGATGGTGAAACCCCGTCTCTACTAAAAATACAAAAATTAGCTGGGTGTGGTGGTGGGTGCCTGTAATCCCAGCTACTTGGGAGGCTGAGGCAGAGAATGGCTTGAACCCAGGAGGCAGAGATTGCAGTGAGCTGAGATCACGCCACTGCACTCCAGCCTGGGCAGTAGAGCGAGACTCCATCTCAAACAAACAAACAAAAAATAAGACATCTGGGCCTTTTGTATATTTTGATGAGTGAGAGGTAAGAACATTTGACTGCCTTTTTAAACTTTGTCTATGTTTGTATGTCAATTCAGATGTGTTATTTCTTCCTGAGGTTATTTCATGAAATTTTATTTTCGTATACAATTTTTACTTTATCTAGATACTCAAATGTAAAATATTATACACAGTGCTTTCTAATCATTAAACATATATTTTTTCTGTATCTGGAATTAAGGATATGTGTGTATTTTCAAGTACACATTTATTTTTGTGTATATTTGATCATTGCTAGGCATCGTAGGTAAGAGTTGGAGTTTTCAGTATATGTTCAATTTTCTGTCTTAAACATTGTGTATTGTTCATTTTACAAAGATAGCACCGTTTTTTTAAAAGTAGATCAAATTGACATTTGCAAACTCCTAAGAAATGAATGTAGCCAATTATATCAGGATAAAGGAGTCATTTTCCCTTTGCAGAAGTAATGAGATAATTGTTTTCATGGATACTTAAAATGGCACTGCACAGTCCTTATTCTGTGGATCTGGACTCTTTTTTAGGCCATGGGTTCTAGGCGTCTAATAACAATTTTACTCAGAAAACTTGGCAAGAGACAGGAGCAAAGACCCATAGGCTCATAATCATCTATCTGTGATTAAATTTTAATTTATTGTATCTATTGAGAACTGATACCTGTGTTGCTGTCCATCAGTTTTGCCTTTAGGGATACTATACTCTATTGACCATTTCCTTAACTTTCTGCATGTCACAATTCCTTTAATGCCACTGAGACCTTGCCACCCAATATGAGAATTGCATCAAGAGAGATGCAATTCTGATAAATACCAGATTGTGACTTTGATTTATTTTTTTTAGAATCCTGTTATCCTGTTCTTATCAATGAGCCCAGTTTTGCAATAGCCCTTCCTATTATCAGCTTTGGCCTACATTTTATACCCTCACTAAACTTCAGTGTGGTGCTGGTTACCCCTTCACAGCTGCTGTTCTTATTTCTTTGATAAATGTCATATCCCTGGGTCCCCACTGAATCATGATCATCTGGTATGTTTTTCCACCTTTCATAGTATATCCAGAATGTCTTCTTCTTTGAGGCTTTTAATCTCTCCTTGTGTGGCTGCATGGCAATTCTGGAATTTCAGCCTTCTTGTAGGGTGACATTTTAAAATTAATTGTCTATGAGGCTTCTCAGCAGCCTTCCCTCACAGTATTCCAGGATCCTTGCATGAATGATAAATTCAGTAACATGGAAGGGTGTTCTCAAATTAACAAACTCTCTTTTAGCTAATATTTGGTTCCACTCCTCTGACCCAGCACCCTCAGAATCCAGTTCTGTGAATGTCTTACTGGCTCCTGAGTGTAATAGCAAAAATTCAAAAGTGCTGAGATATTTATATAAATTATGTAATCCTTACAGTAAACTTTTCAAGCTAGACACAATTTTCCATTTTACAGATAAAGACACTAAGGTTTAAAATGATTTAATAGCTGGTACAAGGTCATAACCTAAAAGTAAGTGATAGGTTAGTCTTACTCGAAAACCCATATTCTCAACATCACTACTCATTGATTCAGGAAACCCAGCTCATACACGGTAGATTGGATAAAAGGTTGGTTTCTTCGCTTTTTAGTATAATTCTACAGTCATTACATCATCAGTTTAACCATCCAATTACTAAGATTTTTAACTACCGAGTTGAAGTCTCATTGAATGAATTGTTGTGCATACTCTATGAGATAATGACTAGAACCGAGTGTAATGACTAGCTGAAATTTCTGCAGGCAAAGGTGAAAGAATATCTGTTAAATTATTAACTATGACATCAATCATAGCTTTTCACCAAGTGTGTCGCATATAGATTTACCCTTCAGAGGGCGAACTATTTCTAAGTTTGTGTATAAAAAAGCCAAAATAGGTTAGCTATTAAAGACTCATACAGTTGAATGGGGACTGAAATCTATAATTTAAAGATCCAGAAGACTAATTTTTATAAGCCCTAAAATACAAAGTTTGGAAGCATAATTTATCCTTAGCTTTCTCTTCCAATACAATTTATACTAAAATGATACTAACATTTGTGGCTTTTGGACAACCCGGTAACCAGATCTACCAATGGACCTGGCAAACTATAGTCATTATGTGGTAAACTAGAGTTAGAAGCCCTCAGATATAAGCAGGGTTTACAAACTGCTTCCAATCACAGACAAAAATAAAAGACTTGGAAGACCATCTTGAGGTAAAAGACCCAAGAGAAGCTGCATTTTACTAATTACAGTATTGCCATAATGTCATGCCTCCCAAAGCTTTCAAAATAACTGCAGACAGCACAAAAACATTCACCTGCGAGAACTTTTATTCTAAGCCTAGTTTAATCAGCAATTTGTGTAGCTGAAATGGGAAGGGATTTGTTTGAAATGTGGCATTGAATCCCATACGTCTGAATATCCAAAACAAGCCAGATCTTGAATTCAGTCTCAAAGGTGCATTTTAACCACATGCCAGAATAAAAACACATCTGAACTGGAAATACTTGGGCTCTGGCATTGGCTGAGCCACTAACGTGGTGTGAGACTTTGGAAAAGTCACTTTCGCTTTCCAGGGCTTATCTTCTTTATTAGTAAAATGAAATTATCTCAAGTTTTTTTGAACTCCAAAATATATGATTGCAAACTAAATAACTGTTGTTTGGTGACATATTAATATTTTCACAGTGTCTTTAAAGTGGTTTGACTGAAATAGCTCCTTCTCAGATGGTTGTGCAGACTCTCCTTAAGTAGAGATTCTTCAAAGAAGGGACTATTTTCCCACTTTGTCGCAAGTGGGAGAAAGTTCACAACATGCTAATTGGGCTACCTTGAAATTCCAAAGATCTGCAAATGGAACAGCTGCAAATGCAACTGGTGATAATTGATGGCTAATTATGCAAGCAATAACACACTCCAGGGTATGGGCTTGTCTGCCAATACATGCATGCCTTTGATATTTTATTAGCCAACAAACATATACCCTGAAGGTTGTATTGTGCAGAAAAAAAAGGCTTTAGAAAACATAAAATAGTTTTAAGTAGAGTATACAATTTTGAAAACATATTAGCACACTACATACAATAGTTCAATTAGAACCAAGTAATCAGGCCTAAAGGCAACAATTCCGAAGAGAATTCCCTGGAGTATACCTCTTTAATCCTTCACTCAGCACGTCACCATTCTGTCCCGTACCCCTGCACTTGCATAATCCAAACAGCCATTTGAAAAATTATCAAATTCCTTGTTTGCTTTTTAACAATAGACTGTAACGAATTAACATTTAGTGATAATTCATAAGGTGACACTAGGAAAATGTTTCCTTTCATAAAGGATCGATTATATTTGACCACTATGTAGTAGAGCAGGTCTTCAAATAATCTTGTTTCATTCAATGTCTTTTTAAAAACCCTTGATGAGAAAATAAAATCAATTTCCGGCCAGGGCCACTGTCTGTATGGAGTTTGCACATTCTTATTATGTCTGTGTGAGTTTTCTCTGGGTACTTCATGCCTCTCCCACATTCCAAAGCTGTGCACACCAGGTGAACTGGCATGTATACATTTTCTGAGTGAGTGAGTGTCAGGGTACGTGTGAGTGCACTCTGCAATGGAATGGCACCCAGGCCAGGACTTGTTCCTGCCATGCACCCTGAGCTGCCTGGACAGGCTCTGGCCACCCATGACCCTGAAACAGAATGGGCAGGGTGGAAAATGAATGGCTACATGAATACATTATGGTAAAATAAATATTTGGAAAGTCCACAATAATCATACAAATGCATGATAATAAATGATGCAGTAAGGCAACAATCAGTGGGCCTGTAATTTTTTTTTTTTTTTTTTTTTTTTTTTTTTTGAGATGGAGTCTCGCTCTGCCACCTAGGCTGGAGTGCAGTGGCGTGATCTCGGCTCACTGCAAGCTCCGCCTCCCAGGTTCACGCCATTCTCCTGCCTCAGCCTCCCAAGTAGCGAGTATGTGGGATTACAGGCACCCATCACCATGCCTGGCTAATTTTTTGTATTTTTAGTAGAGACGGGGGTTCACTTTGTTAGCCAGGATAGTCTCAATCTCCTGACCTCGTGATCCACCTGCCTCGGCCTCCCAAAGTGCTGGGATTACAGGCGTGAGCCACCTGTAATATTTTTAATTGCTTGTTTCTTAACTGAGTGGTGGCAGAAGATGCCCCTTATAATGTTTGCTTAGCAAACATATATTATTTTATTTAAACCACTACAACAATTTTCACTCACTGATTCACCAAAAATTGGGTAAACAATTGTCTTTGTCTTTATTAATATTTCTTAAATGTATGTACGGTATGGTTTGGCTGTGTCCCCACCCGAATCTCAACTTGAATTGTATCTCCCAGAATCCCTGCATGTTGTGGGAGGTACCCAGGGGGACACAATTGAATCATATGGGTCCATCTTTCCCATGTTATTCTCATGATAGTGAGTATGTCTCACAACATCTGATGGGTTTATTGGGAGCTTTCACTTTTGCTTCCTCCTCACTTTCTCTTTCTGCCACCATGTAAGAAGTGCCTTTCACTTCCCACCATGATTCTGAGGCCTCCCCAGCCTTGTGGAGCTGTAAGTTCATTTTTTTTGTTCCCAGTCTTGTATATGTCTTTATCAGCAGTGTGAAAGTGGACTAATACAGTAAACTGGTACCAGTAGAGTGGGGCATTGCTGAAAAGATACCCAACAATGTGGAAGCAACTTTGGAACTGGGTAACAGGAAGAGGGTGAAACAGTTTGGAGGGTGAACTTCCTAGAGACTTGTTGAATGGCTTTGCCCAAAATGCTGATAGTGATATGGACAATAAAATCCGGGCTGAGGTGGTATCAGGTGGAGATGAGGAACTTGTTGGGAACTGAAGCAAAGGTGAGTCTTGTTATGTTTTAGCAAAGAGATTGGCAGCATTTTACCCCTGCCCTAGAGATTTATGGAAGTTTGAAGTTGAGAAAGATGATTTACAGTATCTGGCAGAAGAAATTTCTAAGCAGCAAAGCATTCGAGATGAGACTTGGGTACTGTTAAAGGCATTCAGTTTTAAAAGGGAAAAAGAGCATAAAAGTTCAGAAAATTTGCAGCCTGACAATGTGATAGAAAAGAAAATCCCATTTTCTGGGAGAAAGTCAAGCCAGCTGCAGAAATTTGCATAAATAGCAAGTTGCCTAATGTTAATCCCCAAGACCATGGGGAAAAATATCTCTAGGCCATGTCAGAGACCTTCATGACAGCATCCCCCATCACAGGCCTGGAGGCCCAGGAGGAAAAAGTGGTTTCTTGGGCCAGGCCTAGGGTCCACATGCTGTGTGCAGCCTAGGAACTTGATGCCCTGTGTTTCAGCTGCTCCAGCCATGACTAAAAAAGGCCAATGTAGAGCTTGGGCTATGACTTCAGAGGGTGGAAGCCCCAATCCTTGGCAGCTTCCAAGTGGTGTTAAGCCTGCAGGTGCACAGAAGTCAAGAATTGAGGTTTGGGAACCTTCCCCTAGATTTCACAAGATGTATGAAAATGACTGCATGCCCAGGTAAAAGTTTGCTGCAGGGGTGGGGCTTACATGGAGAATAGGATATTTTGTTTGCTTATGTACCCCAAATGCCTAGAACAATACCTGGATTGTCATAGATACTAAATACATATTTATGATTGAGTGGATGGATGTCAGGTGAGATCTACCTCATGGCATAGGAGTCTCCCAAACACATAAAGGTTGATCAGATTTAGGGAAGCCAAAATTTTGACAAATACAAACAGTGGTAGTATTAATAGTGGAAGTAATTATGTTATACAAATAATAATCATTGGTTTGCCCAGATACCATTGTATTAAAGGTTTCTGCATCTGCTCTCTTACATAGCCTATAGGTATTTCCACAGAAACATGTCCAGGAAATTAAATGTAATTTAATTATCTTAACATTATGTTGAGGAAGAATATATTTTCTTTCTTTTTTATTATTTGTCAAAATTTGTGTGACAGAAAAGAGCTGCTTGGTTGGTATGAAATACAAGTATTGCATAATCCTTCCATGGATCATTAAGGGATAATTATACCTACTGGAAGGAAGCACAGGTGGTAGCTTTCTTCCACAGTAGTGTACCATTTCATTTTAATAAGCAATTGGCATCTGCCTCTGCCAGGTTCTATTCCATACTCAATGACAATAAGAAATGCAAAAGCATTGGCACCGTTTTATATTCCACAATAGAAAAATAATAATCTTGTCATTTATTTTGAAGATATATCTAAGTTTGTTCCATGCTCTTTCTTTTATGTCTTATTTTCTGTCATAGGGTCATTGTTAATAAATTGTTAGTAATAATAAACATCCAATTGGATGCTAACATATTACAACATAATGATAATAAAAAATGTAACATATTTCACTTTATAGGATGATATTCTAATTCCAGCTGGTGATAAGAAACAATAGCCAATGTATCAACTGTGATTATTTCAACCCTTAGTATAACCCTAGGAAACTTGAATTTGCATTTACTCTATCAGAGAGGTGAACTGTGATTTTCTTTGACCAGATTTTGTCATTGAAAACTCAGATGGGTTTAGTGATGAACAAAAAAGCAATCTTAATGCGTAAAACATAGCTTCAGGCCGGGCGTGTTGGCTCATGCCTGTAATCCCAGCACTTTGGGAGGCCGAGGCGGATGGATCACTTGAAGTCCGAAGTTCAAAACCAGCGTGGATAACATGGTAAAACCCCATCTCTACTAAAAATACAAAACAATTAGCCAGGCATGGTGGCAGATGCCTGTAATCCCAGCTACTTGGGAAGCTGAGGCAGGAGAACTGCTTGAACCCAGGAGGTGGAGATTGCAGTGAGCCAAGATCGTGCCGCTGCACTCCAACCTGGGTAACAGAGCAAGAATTTGTCTCAAAAAACAAAACAAAACAAAACAAAACATAGCTTTCATCTGTATGGCAATAAAACAGCTTAACAAGTCCTGGACTTAACATGTTGTAAAAATGTTCTCCTGGGTCAATTTGCTACCTCATATCCTAGGTATAAATGATTCTTCTCCTGACAAAGCTGACAATAGGGCTCAGTAAGGAATTTGCTAAGATGCTCATTTATATAGCATTAAAGATTATTTAGTACAAAGAAGGAAAACATGAACAAATAGAAGCTGAATTAAATTGTGGATAGACAGGCTAAACAAGAAATCAACTTAAAGGGACCAACTAGAGAAGAAGAATAGTAGAAAAATACATACTGAGGAATACCTAGGAGAGCAAAATCTTGAAGGAGATAATGCAAAAAAGAGCAAGGGGAAATCCTTGTGTCTATGAGAAGATACTGAAGTTACATTCTATTGGGCTCCTGGGACCTCAGGCACTGGAGAGAGGAAGGAAGTCTTTGAAGGTGCTACTCCAGTGATCTTTCTATAGTAATGACTCCAACTTAATACATGCCAAAATATATTTATGAAGCACCTTATATGTGTAGAGTGTTGCATTAAATTTCATTGTTTGTGTCCCCTACTGTATTAGTATGTTCTCATGCTGCTAATATATATACACCTGAGACTGGGTGATTTATAAAGGAAAGAGATTTAATTGACTCACAGTTCAGCATGGCGGGAGAAGCCTCAGGAAACTTACAATCATGGCAGAAGGGAAAGCTAACAAGTCCTTCTTCACATGGCAGCAGGAAGGAGAAGAATAAGCAAAAGGGAAAAAAGCCCCTTATAAAACCATCAGATCTCATGATAACTCACTATCATGAAAATGTCATGAGGGTAATCGCCCCCATGATTCAATTACCTCCCACTGGTTCCCTCCTATGACAAGTGGGAATTATGGGAACTAAAATTCAGGATGAGATTTGGGTGGGGACACAGCCAAACCATATAACCTACAGGTGATTGGTAAAAGCAACCAAGAGCCCTGTGTTGAAAAGGATTCTGATAGTATATATCTGGTATCAGTAGAAACAACTGTTGCAATGTCTGTCATGCCTCCCTTACAGAGATTTAGATGAGGAGTAAATAAGGTAGCCCACGTAAAAGTTCAGCATAAGAACTTGCACAGAGTAAACTTTGAATTAGATGCCCTTCAGTAGAAAGTATTATAAAACCCAAATGAAGCATATTTCAAAAATAAGGAAAATTGTCTGGCTCCTTAACTGAGAGGTCCAGAGTCTGGAAATGCTTCAGTCACAATGTGATCCACAGCTTCCTCATGTCATCAGTAGTCCAATTCCTCTGTGATTATCTCAGCTTTGCTCTCCTACCTGGGCCATATTCTTCCTCAGACTGGCTTTCCTCCTGGTAGAAAACCGGCTCTAGTAGGTCTGGACCTCACATCCACATCTCAAATGCTGAACTCCACTAGCTCACACTGGAGTCAGCTTCTCTATAACAAATAGTGAATAGATGGTGGGGCTTCAACTACCAATATTCAGTACATAAACACTCAATAAAGTAAACCCTTATTAATGTTGTTAGCAGAATGGATGACTAGTAGCTTTTTTGCTACATATTTGCAAAATCCTGTTTCTTTTCATTTAGTATTGTATTTACCAACTTATATTTTAATAAAATAGTCAAAACTGGTTATAGAATACATTAACTGATCAGTGAGTTCAGATAGCAATGTTGATTGCTTTGCAAACATCTAGTCTTGGATAACTCAATGTTGTTTGTCAAATGCAATCTAAATCTAAAATTAATCAAAGCCAGCTACTGGCTTCCTAACCACATTCTTGATCTTGTTAGGGAAAGGATTTAGAATTTGTGTGCCATCTATCCGCCCTGATTTTACTATTTTTCTGGCCATAATATATGATGATGCCTCATTTCATAGAGTATTCTTCTCTTCCCTGGCCCTAAGTCTAGATGTGATTCATGTCAAATCTAGGACTAGTAGAGAGCCTACATGTAGTTGTCATTATCATGCAAATTCTTCACTTATCTAGTGAGCACCCACTGTGTACCATGTATTTTTTTTACATCCAAAATACTCTGAGATACTCACCACAATGTGATAAATGCTATAATAAAGATATAACTGAGGTCCTTAGTGAGTATAGGAGAAATAACTTTCTGACAGACATAGCAACTAATGGTACAAAGTAAAGAGCCCAGAAATAAACCCAAGCATATATGGCATATTAATCTTTGAAAAGGGCACCAGGAAGACACAATGTGGAAAGAATATTCTCTTCAACCAATAGTACAGAAAAACTAAATGTTCACATGCAAAAGAATGTAATAGGACACCTATCTTATGCCATACATAAAAATCAACCCATAATCGATAAAAAGTTTATGTATAACACCTAAAACTGTAAAACTTCTTGAAGAAAACGTAGGGGAAAAGTTCAAGGCATTAGTCTTGGCAATGATTTTATGGATACATCACAAGAAGCACAGGCAACAGAAGCAAAAACAGACAATTGGGACTACATCAAGCTAAAAAGCTTCCGCACCACAAAGTTAACAAACAACAGAGTGAAAAAGGCAGCACAGTCCGGGCACGGTAGCTCACACTTGTAATCCCCACACTTTAGGAGGCCGAGGCGAGTGGATCATTTGAGGTTAGGAGTTCAAGACCAGCCTGACCAACATCGTGAAACCCTGTCTTGACTATAATCCAACAATTAGCCGGACCTGGTGGCAGGTGCCTGTAATCCCAGCTGCCCGGGAGGCTGAGGCAGGAGATTTGCTTGAACCCAGGAGGCAGAGGTTGCAGTGAGCCAAGATCACACCACTGCACTCCAGCCTGGGTGACAGAGTGAGACTCTGTCTTAAAAAAGAAAAAGAAAAAAGGCAGCACAGAATGGGAAAAAAATATTTTCAAACCTTATATCTGATAAAGGATTGATATCTAAAATATATATCTTCTTTAACTCCATAGGAAAAATAAATAAAATAAATAATGGTATTAAAAATTAGCAAAAGATTTAAATAAATATTTCTCCAAAGAAGACGTACAAATGGCCGAGAGATACATGAAAAGGTGCTTAATATCACTAACTATCTAGGAAATGGAAATAAAAGCCACAATGATATTACCTCCTAGTCATTAGGATCATTGTCAAAAAAATAAAGGATGACAAGTGTTGCCAAGGGTGTGGAAAAGTTGGAAACCTTGCACACTGTTAATGGGAATTTAATTTGGCACAGCAATGATGGAAAACAATATGAATGTTCCTCAAGAAATTATAAATGAAACTACCCTATGATTCAGCAATCTCACCTCTACATATTTATTCAAAACAATTAAAATCAGGATCTCAGAGACAAGAAGAAAGACCATCGGGAATACGAAATCATGCTCACCTTACTCTCTTCACCTTTGATTACTGTTCAAGGAAAGGAATAGTTTGCTTTTGATTTATAATTAAGGGGAAATAGACAGCAAAAAAATGCAACTCCTTCATGAGTCTACTTCCCTTAAAGGGAAAGATTAAGGATAATATATTTCTATTTCATCATTTTATAGATGGTGAAACTGAAGTTCATGTTTTCAACTTTATCTCCAACGCAATTATCTTTCCATGGTAAGTACCCCAACTTAATACCCTTTAACACATATTTATTATGCACCCTATATATACAGAGTGCTGCATTAGACCCAGGGCTTTTAGAGAGCTTATCATAAAATGCCTGTTTTCTCTCTCTGTCTTTCCAACACCTAGTACAATATCTAATGCAAAGTGATACATTTTTTCAAAATGGTGAATTGAGGTGTGAGGTATTTGCACAGCTAACTATATGTGAAGACAATTTGTCAAATGCACCAATACCTTTTCTTTTACTTATTGCGTCCTAACTAATACAAATGTAAGTTTCAAATCATCTCCTTTCGTCAAAGAATTTAATTGAGTTAGAACTAATTATCCAAAAACTGAAAGCTGTTGGAAAACATCTAAGAACACACTGAAAGAGAAGGAGTTAGTGTCAAGATGTAATTTGTCATCTTGGGCTAGTATGGGAAAAGATGCATTACAAATGAGCTCAAAACCTTTGAAAAACATACAGATGCCATAAAAAGGAAGGACAAGGAAAATGTTCTATAACACACCTCTTATATGTTAAGTACACATCTCATGGTGTTAATGTTTTATTTTGCTGGCCTAGCTGATTACCTCATTAAAAATTGTAAATGTTATAGTTTAAAGATGAAGAGAGAAAGTAATATCAAAAGTATAAAGACATCGAAGAGCTGTTGTTTGAGTGCCTTCATTGCTCTCCAATATGCTGTTACAGTCTCAGTGGAGGTCAATGAGGCTTCCATTATCATCGACTTAAGTGGCCAAAATCACTCTTTCAAACCCATTATTAACTCTAATGTCAAAGAGTCTTTAATGTGCACATCTTCATAGCTGAGACACCTCACAACCAAACTTCTGTGTTGGTTTTTGACTACAGTTTTTCCATTGTGTCAAGTCAGACAAGTACAATTCTAGCAGCTTTCCAATGTCAACTAGCAGTCATCTCGGACCTCTCTCACATTATCTAGCAAATTCTTTAGCTATGCAAGTGGAATCTCCATCTGAGATACCTGTGCTTGTGTGTATATGTATATGTATGTGTGCTTGCATGAGATATTTTATTTTGCAATGAATTTTACAGTAAGTTATATATAGTATCTACAAAATTGCAATATGGCCGAAATGGCTTGGAATTGAACACAGTATTAACATTTTTGCTATAAGCAAATGTAATCAAATCAGCAGGAGATTTCCAATGTTATTTATTCTAAGGAAGCAGTCTTAATTGTTTTTAAACCATTAAATCTTTTCCTCCAAAGAGATTATGGAACACAAATATACTGACTGGATAAAAGTGGAGACCATCTAGCCTGAACCATTTACATATGAGGAAACTAAGTCCCAAAGAAAGGATGAAATTTATTGAATTTTGCACAGCTAATAAGTGATAAAGCCAGCTCTTAAAGCCAGTCCATCACATTATAACATGTAAGTTTTAATCCCACTTCTACCACCAGCTGTGTATGACTTGGGCAAGTCATTTTAAACTCTTGAGTCTCAGTTTTCTTCATTTGCAAAATGAGGATAATAAGGTGCCTATTTTATTATGCTCTTTTGCGAGGATTACATGAAGTGCTTTTTGTGAACATTCCTAGTAAATATAATGTATTATACAAGTATTTCTTATTACCACCATCACCATTTGCTGATACTCAGCACAGTGCTTTTTTCCACTATATATGTAGCTTTTGACTTTGTGTATTGCTATTGATATGATTTGGGTGTCCCCACCCAAATCTCATCCTGAATTGTAATCCTCATAATCCCCATAACCTTCACATGTAAAGGGAAAGAACAGGTGGAGGTAATTGAATCATGGAGGTGGTTTCCACCATGTTGTTTTTGTGATAATGAGTGAGTTCTCATGATATCTGATGGTTTTATAATTGGTTCTCCTCCTGTTTGCTCGGCACTTCTCTTTCCTGCTGCCTTGTGAACAAGGTGCCTTTCTTCCCCGTTGCCTTCTGCCATGATTGTAAGTTTCCTTAGGCATTCCCCAGCCATGCTGAACTGTGAGTCAATTAAACCTCTTTTCTTTATAAATTACCCAGTCTCAGGTATGTCTTTTTCAGCAGTGTCATAATGGATTAATACAATAAATTGGTACTGAAGTAGTGAGGTGCTGCTGAAAAGATACCCAAAAATATGGAAGCAACTTTGGAACTGGGTAACAGACAGAGTTTGGAACAGTTTGGAGGGCTAAGAAGAAGACAGAAAAATGTGGAAAAGTTTGAAACTTCCTAGAGACTTGTTGAATGGGTTTGATGAAGATACTGATATTTATATGGACAATGAAGTCCAGGCTAAGGTTGGTTTAGTTAGAGATGAAGAACTTGTTGGGAACTGGAATAAAGGTGACTCTTGCTATCCTTTAGTAAAGAGACTGGAAGCTTTTTGTCCCCACCCTAGAGAACTGTGGAACTTTGAACTTGAGAGAGATGATTTAGGGTATATGGCAGAATAAATTTCTAAGCAGGAAAGCATTCAAGATGTGACTTGGGTGCTCTTAAAAGCATTCAGTTTTATATATTCACAAAGAGATGACTTGGAATGGGAACTTATGTTTAAAAGGGAAGCAGGGCATAAAAGTTTAGAAAACTTGCAGTCTGATGATGTGATATAAAAGAAAAACCCATTTTCTGAGGAGAAATTCAAACCAGCTGCAGAAATTTGCGTAAGTAACTAGCCAAATGTTAATCGCCAAGACAATGGAGAAAATGTCTCCAGGGCATGTCAGAGGTCTTCACGGCAGCCCCTTCCATAACAGGCCCAGAGGCCTAGGAGGAATAAATTGTTTCCTGGGCTGGGCCTAGGGCCTTTCTGCTTTGTGCAATTTAGAGATTTGGTGCCCTGCATCCCAGCCATGGCTAAAAGGGACCAACGTACAGCACAGGCTATTGCTTCAGTGGGTGCAAGCCCCAAGCCTTGGTGGCTTACATGTGGTGTTGGGCCTGTGAGTACACAGCAGTCAAGAACTGAGGTTTTGTAACTTCTGCCTAGATTTCAGGGGATGTATGGAAATGCCAGAATATCTAGGCAGAAGTTTGCTGCAGGGGTGAAGCCCTCATGGAGAACCTCTGCTAGGGCAATGCAGAAGAGAAATGTTGGGTTGGAGCCCCCACACAGAGTCCCCACTGGGGCACTGCCTAGTGGAGCTGTGAGAAGAGGGCCACCATTCTCCAGACCCCAGAATGGTATCAGTAGATCCACCGACAGCTTTTACCATGCACCTGGAAAAGCTGAAGACACTCAATGCCAGCCTATGAAAGCAGCTGGGAGGGGGGCTGTACCCTGCAAAGCCACAGGGTTGGAGCTTCCCAAGGGCATGGGAGCCCACCTTTTGCATCCGCAGAACCTTGATGTGGGACATGGAGTCAAAAAAGATCACTTTGAAGCTTTAAGGTTTGACTGCCCCACTGGATTTTGGACTTGCTTGGTGTCCATTTTTTGGACCAATTTCTTCCATTTGGAGTGGGTGTATCTACCCAATGCCTCTACCCCCATCGTATCCAGAAAATAACTAACTTGCTTTTGATTTTACAGGCTCATAGGTGGAAGGGACTTTCCTTATCCCAGATGAGACTTTGGATTTATACTTTTGGGTTAATGCTGGAATTAATTAAGACTTTGAGGGACTGTTGAGATGGCATAATTGGTTTTGAAATGTGTAAGGAACATGAGATTTGGGAGGGGCCTGGGGCCTGGCTGTGTCAGATTCCGGAATAATGAAAATAATAGACAAGTACCTTTCTGCATGATCTGAAGCTTTGGATTGATTTATGAAAGTATTTCTTAGACTTACGACGGGAATGATTTACCCGAGTAGTTTTTCCATTTTAATTCACCAAAGTCATATATTCTTGAGTTGTACTTAAGGAATCAAATTCTTCTGTGATTAAAAGATGCAACAACTTATAAGTTTACATAATTTTGCTAGAAACTCATGCATTTAAAAGCCTTCCATTTATTGAACTGTTTCTAGAAAGAAATTTAAATATATATTTCTATATACATATGCATACATACATAATAATATGCCCAATACTATGCTGTGTTTTACCTTACAGATATATAGATAGGTAGATAGATTCATTGAGATTGATTTTAAAAAATATGAAATATATAATTGCCTTAAAATTATTATGAGTCTAGTAGTTCAGTACCGGGCGTTACAATTTGAGTTATGCTAAACAAAGTGTAAGCCTTATATAAAGAAATCGAGTATCAGGGTCTGGATCTGTCTGGATCCTAACCCTATATTTTTCAGATTAGCAAAGTAACTTGCTTACCATTTCCCTAAAGTCTTTTTTCAGTTTATACATCTGGGGCTTGTATTGGTCACACCCTGGAGACTAGTTTAAGGTCTAGTAGACTACATTTCCCTAACCTGAAAATTTTCCCACTTTTATTAGTATGTGCCCATGTAAAAAATAAAAATTAAAAAAAAGATAAGAAGACAGAAAACTGAAACATAAATTTTAGTAAATCTCAGTACCAAAGATAACCATTTATTAAAATAATAATTCAGCCAGGTGCGATGGCTCATGCCTGTAATCCCAGCACTTTGGAAGGCTGAGGCGGGCAGATCACCTGAGGTCTGGTGTTCAAGACCAGCCTGACCAACATGGTGCTACCTTGTCTCTAATAAAAATACAAAATTAGCTGGGCGTGATGGCACATGCCTCTAATCCCAGCTACTTGGAGGCTGAGGCAGGAGAATCACTTGAACCCAGGAGGTGGAAGTTGCAGTGAACTGAGATCGCACCATTGCACTCCAGCCTGGGCAACAAGAGCGAAACTCCATCTCCAACATAATAATAATAATACTAGTGCATAAACATCCCAATATTTAACACACACATTCTATGTAAATGTATTCCATATATACTCATATATACATCAAGGAAAAACTTCAGCCCATATTCAGAGTTTTAGAGGATTTTGTTTTTAATTTTTAAGAATGATGTTGTGGTGAACACATTTGTAACTATGCCTCATCATGAATATTCTATTAAGTAATTAGTATCAATTCAAAACAAGTTAGTAAGTTAAAACTAACTATGTTTGAAATGCTATTGAGAGAAGTTAAACAGCTTCTTGCAGCAATGCATCTCACAATATTTGGAATGGCTCTTCAATAAAAAGAGCAACATACAACGAAAGCATTTGATCATGATGCAAAACTTTGGAGATGTTCACTCTAACCTACTGCTGTCACCTTCACCATTTTTTTTTAATTTTTATAGTTAATTTTTCTTTAACTTTTATTTAAATTCAAGGGTACATGTGCAGGTTTGTTATATAGGTAAACTTGTGTCGTGGGGGTTTGTTGTATAGACCATTTCATCACCCAGTTATTAAGCCTAGTACCCATTAGTTATTTTTCTTGATCTGTTTCCTCCTCCCAACCTCTACCCTCAAATTGGCCCTACTGTGTGTTGTTCCCTTCTATATGTCCATGTGCTCTCATCATTTAGCTCCCACTTATAAGTGAGAGCATGGGGTATTTGGTTTTCTGTCCCTGCATTATTTTACGAAGGATAATGACCTCCAGCTCCATCCATATTCCTCCAAAGGACATTATCTCATTATCTTTTATGGCTGCATAGTACTTCATGGTGTATTTGTACCACATTTTTTTTTATCTAGTAAACTATTGATGGGCATTTAGGCTGTTTCTACGTCCTTACAACTGTGAATAATGCTGCATTGAACATACACATGCATGTATCTTTATAATAGAACAAAAATATTCCTGTAGGTATATATCCAGTAATGGGATTCCTAGCTAGAATGGTATTTCTGTGTTTAGGTTTTGAGCAATTACCACTCTGCTTTCCACAATGGTTGACTAATTTACACTCTCACCAATAGTGTATAAGGGTTCCCTTTTCTCCACAACCTCACCAACATCTGTATTTTTTTTTTTTTACTTTTTAATAATAGCCATTCTCACTGGCATGAGATGGTATCTCATTGTGGTTTTGATTTTCATTTCTCTAATGGTCAGTGATGTTGAGCTTATTTTCACTTGTTTGTTGGCCACATGTGTGTCTTCTTTTGAGGAGCGTATTAGTTTGTTTTCACACTGCTGATAAAGACATACCTGAAACTGGGAACATAAAAGAGGTTTAGAACTTACAGTTCCGCATTGCTGGGGAGGCTTCACTATTATGATGGGAAGTGAAAGGCACTTCTTACATGGCAGTGGCAAGAGAAAAATGAGAAAGAAGCAAACGCAGAAACTCCAGATAAAACCATCAGATCTCATGAGACTTATTCATTATCCTGAGAAAAGCACGGGAAAGACTGACCCTTATGACTCAATTACCTCCTCCTGGGTCCCTTCCACAACATGGGGGAATTCTGGGAGATAAAATTCAAGCTGAGATTTGGGGGAGGTATGAGCCAAACCATATCATTCTGCCCCTGGTCCCTCCAAATCTCATGACCTCACATTTTAAAACCAATCATGCCTTCCTAACAGTTCCCCAAAGTCCTCATTTCAGCATTAATCCAAAAATCCACAGTTTAAAGTCTGATCTGAGACAAGGCAAGTCTCTGCTGCCTTGAGCCTGTAAAATCAACGGCAGGTGAGTTACTTCCTAGATACAATGAGGGTACAGGTATTGGGTAAATACAGGTTCCAAATTGGAGAAATTGGCCAAAACAAAGGGGTTAGAGGGCCCATGCAAGTTTCAAATCCAGGAGGGCAGTCAAATTTTAAAGCTCCAAAATGATTTTCTTTGACTCCACATTTGACATCCAGGTCACGCTGATGCAAGATGTGGGCTCTCATGGTCTTGGGCAGCTCTGCCTCTGTGGCTTTGCAGGGTACAGCCTCCCTTCTGGCTGCTTTCATGGGCTGGCATTGAGTGTCTGTGGCTTTTCCAGGTTCATGGGGCAAGCTGTGGGTGGAGCTACCATTCTGGGGTCTGGAGGATGGTGGCCCTTTTCTCACAACTGCACTAGGCCGTGCCCCAGTAGGAACTCTGTGTGGGGGCTCTGACCCCACATTTTCCTTCCTCACTGCCTTAGCAGAGGTTTTCCATGAGGACTCTGCCCTTGCAGCAAACTTCTGCCTGGGCTTCCAGGCATTTCCAAACATCTTCTGAAATCTAGGCGGAGGCTCCCAAACCTCAATTCTTCTGTGCACCCGCAGGCTCAACACCACATGGAACGTGCAAGGCCTGGGGCTTCCACCCTCTGAAGCCACAACCCAAGCTCTACATTGGCCCCTTTCAGCCACAGCTGAAGCAGCTGGGACATAAGGCACCAAGTCCCTAGGCTGCACACAGCACGGGGACCCTGGGCCCACCCCATCAAACAACTTTTTCCTCCTGGCCTCTGGGACTGTGATGGGAGGGGTTGCTGTGAAGGTCCCTGACATGGCCTGGAGACATTTTCCCCACGATCTTGAGGATTAATTTTAGGCTCCTTGCTATTTATGCAAATTTCTGCAGCCAGATTGAGTTCCTCCTCAGAAAAATGGGTTTTTATTTTCTGCTACATCGTCAGGCTGTGAATTTTCTGAACTTTTATGCTCTGTTTGCTTTTTAAAATGGAATGCTTTTAGCAGTACCCAAGTCACCTTTTGAATGCTTTGCTGCTTAGAAATTTCTCCTACCAGATACCATAAGTCATCTCTCTCAAGTTCAAAGTTCCACAAATCTCTACAGCAGGGGCAAAATGCCGCTAGTCTCTTTGCTGAAACACAACAAGAGTCACCTTTGCTCCAGTTCCCAACAAGTTTCTCATTTCCATCTGAGACCACCTCAGCCTGGACCTTTTTGTTCATATCACAAAACATTTTTGTCACAGCCATTCAACAAGTCTCTAGGAAGTTCCAAACTTTCCCATATTTTCCTGTCTTCTTTTGAGCCCTCCAAACTGTTCCAACCCCTGCCTGTTACCCAGTTTCAAAGTCTCTTCCACATTTTTGGGTATATTTTCAGCAACACCCCACTCTACTGGTACCAATTCACTGTATTAGTTCATTTTCATGCTGCTGATAAAGACATACCAGAAACTAGGAACAAAAAGAGGTCTAATTGGACTTACAGTTCCACGTGGCTGGGGAGGCCTCAGAATCATGATGGGAGGCAAAAGGCACTACTTACATGTTGGTGGCAAGAGAAAAATGAGGAAGAGGCGAAAGCAGAAACCCCTGATAAACCCACCAGATCTCATGAGACTTACTCACTATCACGAGAATAGCGCAGGAAAGACTGGCCCCCTTGATTCAATTACCTCTCCCTGAATCCCTTGCACAACACGTGGGAATTCTGGGAGATACAAATCAAGTTGAGTTTTGGGTGAGGACACACCCAAACCATATCAAGAAGTGTCTTTTCATGTCCTTTGCCCACTTTTTAATGGGGTTGTTGTCTTATTTTCTTGTAAATTTGTTTAAGTTACTTGCAGACTCTGGATATTAGACCTTTTTCAGATGGATAGCTTGGAAAAGTTTTCTCCTGTTATGCAGGATGCCTGTTCTCTCTGATAATAGTTTCTTTTGCTGTACAGAACTTGTTTAGTTTAATTAGATCCCATTTGTCAATTTCTGCTTTTGTTGCAATTGCTTTTAGCATCTGTGTCATGAAATTTTTGCCCGTGTCTTTGTCCTAAGTGGTATT
Organism: Homo sapiens; assembly: GCF_000001405.40. NCBI lineage: Eukaryota > Metazoa > Chordata > Mammalia > Primates > Hominidae > Homo > Homo sapiens. Next base: position 246,057 of record NW_025791819.1, read on the forward strand.
GCCTAGGATGTCTGCCAGGATTTTTATAGTTTTGGGTTTTACATTTAAATCTTTAATCCACCTTGATTTAATTTTAGCATATGGTGTTAGGAAGAGGTTCACTTTCAATCTTCTGCATATGGCTAGTTGGTTATCTCAGCAACATTTATTAAATAGGGAATCCTTTTCCCATTGCATGTTTTTGTCAGGTTTGTCTAAGATCAGATATTTTTAGGTGTGCAGTCTTATGGGTTTGCTATTCTGTTCCATTGGTCTATGTGTCTGTTTTTGTACCAGTACCATGTTGTTTTGGTTATTGTAGCCCTGTTGTACCGTTTGAAGTCAGGTAGCGTGATGCCTCCAGCTTTGTTTTTGTTTGTTTGTTTGTTTGTTTTTGTTTTTTATTATGCTTACTTCCTTGGCCATTGAAGCTCATTTTGATTCCATGTGAATTTTAAAATGGTCTTTTTCTGGCTCTATGAAGAATGTCAATGGTACTGTAATAGGCATAGCATTGAATCTATAAATTGCTTATGGCAGTATGGTCATTTTAACAATATTAATTCTTCCTATCCATGAGCATAGAATGTTTTTTCCATTTGTTTCTGTCATCTCTGATTTATTTGCGCAGTGGTTTGTAGTTCTCCTTGCAGACATCTTTCACTTCCCTAGTTAGCTGTTTTCCTAGTTATCTTATTGTTTTTGTGGCAATTGTGAATGGGAGTACATTTCTTATTTGGCTCTTGGCTTGACTGTTGTTGGTGTATGGGAACGGTAGTGATTTTTACACATTAATTTTGTGTTCTGTGACTTTGATGAAGTTGTTTATCAGCTTAAGAAGCTTTTGGGCTAAGTCTGTGGGGTTTTCTAGATATAGAAGCATGTCATCTGCAAATAGAGAAAATTTTACTTGCTCTTTACCAATTTACATGCCCTTTATTTCTTCCTCTTGCCTGATTACCCTGGTCAGGACATTGAATACTATGTTGAGTACTAGTGGTGAGAGAGGGCATCCTTGTCATGTCCCGATTTTCAAGGGGAATGCTTCCAGCATTTGTCCATTCGGTATGATGTTGGCTATGTGATTTGCATAGATGGTTCTTATTATTTTGAGGTATGTTCCTTCAGTAACTAATTTATTGATAATTTTTAACAGAAACAGATGTTGAATTTTATATGAAGCCTGTTTTGTATCTATTGAGATAATCATGTGGTTTTTGTCTTTAGTTAATTTTATGTATTGAATTACATTTAATAATTTGTGTATGTTGATCCAACTTTGCATCCCAGGGATAAAGTCTACTTGATCTTGATGGATAAGCTTTTTGATGTGCTTCTAGATTTGGTTTGCCAGTATTTTTTGAGGATAATTGCATTAATGCTCATCAAGAATGTTGGCCTGAAATTTCTTTTATTTTCTTCTATCTCTGTCAGGTTTTCATGTCAGGATGATGCTGGTCTCATAGAATGAGTTAGGGAAGGAGCCCCTTCTCCTCAAGTTTTTGGAAGAGTTTCAGTAGAAATGGTACCAGCTCTTCTTTGTACATCTGGTAGAATTCAGCTGTGAATCTGCCTGGTCCTGGCCTTTTATTTTGTTGCTAAGCTATTTATTACTCCTTCCATTTCCCACCTTGCTATTGCTCAATTCAAAGATTCAGTTTCTTCCCAGTTCAGTCTTGGGAAGGTGTATGTGCCCAGAAATGTATCCATTTGTTCTAGATTTTCTAGTTTATGTGCAAAGAGGTGTTCATAATATTATCTGATCGTGGTTTGTATTTCTGTGCAGTCAGTGGTAATATCCCCCTTGTCATTTCTGATTGTGATTATTTGAATCTTCTCTCTTTTCTTCTTTATTAATCTAGCTAGCAGTCTATCTAGCTTATTACTTTTTTTTCAAAAATCCAGGTGCCGGATTCATGGATCTTTTGAAAAGTTTATCGTGGCTCTGTCTTCTTCAGCTCAGCTGTGATTTTGGTTGTTGCTTATTTTCTGCCAGCCCTGGGATTTGTTTGCCTTTGATTCTCTAGTTCTTTTAGTTGTAATGTTAGATTGTTAAATTAAGATTTTTCTAACTTTCTGATGTGGGCATTTAGTGCTATAAATTTCCCTCTTAACACTGCCTTAGCTGTGTCCCAGAGATTCTGGTATGTTCTGTCTTTGTTCTCATTAGTTTCAACAAAATTCTTCATATCTGCCTTAGTTTCATTATTTACCCAAAACTCATTTAGGTACAGCTGTTCAATTGCCGTGTAATTGTATGGTTTTGAGTGAATTTCTTAGTATTGATTTCTAATTCGATTGCACTGCCATCTGTATGAGTGGTTGTCATGATCTCAGTTGTTTTGCATTTGCTGAGGTGTGTTTTACTTCTGATTATGTGATCAATTTTGGAGCATGTGCTATGTGGAAATGAAATGAATGTATATTCTGTGGTTTTTGGGTGGAAATTTCTGAATTTCTGCGATAGATATCAGGTTCTTTAGACCCACTGCCGAGTTCAGGTCCTGAATATCTTTGTTACTTTTCTGTCTCAATTATCAGTCTAATATTGTTAGTGGTATATAAAAGTCTCCCACTATTATAGTGTGGAAGTCTAAGTCTCTTTGAAGGTCTCTAAGAACTTGTTTTATGAATCTAGTTGTTCCTGTTTTGGGTGCATATATATTTAGGATAGTTAGATCCTTTTGTCGAATTGAACCCTTTACCATTATGTAATGTCCTTCTTTGTTTGTCTTTTTTGATCTTTGTTGATTTAAAGTCTGTTTTGTTAGAAACTAGGATTGCAACCCTGATTTTCTTCTGTTTTCCACTTTCTTGGTGAATTTTTCTCCATCTCTTTATTTTGATCATGCATGTATCATTGCATGTGAGATGGTCTCTTAAAGATAACATACCAATTGGTCTTGGTTCTTTATTGAGCTTGCCACTCTGTGTGTGTGTGTGTGTGTGTGTGTGTGTGTGTGTGTGTGTGTGGCATTTAGCCATTTACATTTAAGCTTAGTATTGATGTGTATGGATTTCATCCTGTTATCATGATGTTAGCTGGTTATTTTGCAGACTTATTTATGTGGTTAATTTATAGTTTCACTGGTCTGAGTACCTCAGTGTGTTTTTGTAGTGGCTTGTAACAGTCCCTACTTTCCATATTTAGTGCTTCTTTTAGAAGCTCTTGTACGGAAGGTCTGATGGTAACAAATTTCTTTAGCATTTGCTTGTCTGAAAAGATCTCATTTCTCCTTCACTTATAAAGCTTAGTTTGACCAGATATGAAATTCTAGATTTGAATTTTTTTTTTGAGTGTTGAATATTGACCTCCAATCTCTTCTGGTGCGTAGGGTTTCAGCTGAGAGATCTGTTGTTAGACTGATGGGCTTCCCTTTGTAGGTAACCTTACCTTTCTTTCTAGCTGCCTTTAATATTTTTTCTATCATTTCAACTTTAGAGAATTGTTACTGGTGGAAGGTCTTGACTAGGAGTCATCTAGGTTCTTGGCATTTTGAACAAATAATTGGACAAAATGCACAAACAAAGCAACAGAAAATGAAGCAATGAAAGCACAGATTTATTGAAATGAAAGTACACTCAGCAGAGTGAGAGTGGGCTCCAGCAAGCAGCCCAAGTGCGCTGGTTACAGAATTTTCTCAGGTTTAAATACGCTCTAGAGGTCTCCCATTAGTTACTTGGTTACACCTTGTATAAATAATGACTTGCTTGTGATCAGTCTGATTGGTTGCAGGAGGTGACCAATCAGAGGCTTAAGTGAAGTTACAAAGTTGCACATGAGGACTTGGCCCACGACCAGTCTAATTGTTTGCAGGAGGCGAGGAATCAGATGCTGAAGTGAAGTTACAAAGTTACACCCTATGCACATGAAGACTGGTTGCTGGAGGGAACAAATCAGAGGTACTTTTCATTTTTTATCTGTGATGCGGTACAAGATGCAGTGCAAAGATATTAGCCTGTGATTCTTTTGTTACTTCGGTGTGGAGAGGTGGGGTTTTCCTTTTGATTCAGTTCTAAGAAGTCAGTGTGAATTGGCCGTAGTTTCCCTGCCTCCAGACCCTATTCTCCTGCCTTAGAATCTGGTAAATATGTGCCTTGGGGATGATCTTCTTGCAAAGTATCATACTGGGGTTCTCTGCATTTCCTGAATTTGAACGTTGGCCTCTTTAGTGAGGTTGGGGAAGGTCTCATGGATTATATCCTGAAATATGTTTTTCAAGTTGGTGCCATTCTCCTAACCTCTTTCAGGAACACCAATCAGTCATAGATTCAATCTCTTTACATAATCTCATATTTCTCAGAAGTTTTGCTCATTCTTTTTTATTCTTTATATTCTATTATTATCTGCCTGTATTATTATCTAAAGGCAGTCTTCAAGCTCTGAGATTCGTTCCCCTGCTTAGTCTACTCTGCTATTACTACTTGTGATTGCATTATGAAATTCTTGTACTGTGATTTTCGGCTATATCAACTTGGTTACATTATTCTCTATACTGGCTATTTTTTTCTGCCATCTCCTAAAATATTTTATCAGGATTTTTAGCTTCCTTGCATTGGCATTTAAGGTACTCCTGCAGCTCAGTAAACTTCATTCCTATCAATATTTTGAATTCTATTTCTGTCATTTCAGCTATCTCAGCCTCAGCCCAGTTCCAAACCCTTCTTTGCTGGAGAGGTGATTTAGTCATTTGGAGCAAAGAAGGCACTCTAGCTTTTTGAGTTTTCAGCATTCTTGTGCTGATACTTTTTCATCTTTGTGGGCTTATCTACCTTCAGAGTTTGAGGTTGCTGACCTTTAGATTTTTTTTAATTTTACCCTATTTGATTACCTTGAGGTTTTGATCATGGTATAAGGTAGATTCAGCTGACTGGCTTCATTTCCTGGCGATTTCATCACCTTTTCCATTTTAGGTTTTAAATACTGAGTCAGACAACAGTAAATATACAAATACAAGCTAATAAAAAGTACTCTTGATATTTAGTTTCTAACAGCTCTCCAGGAATATTGCAATTTTATATTTTAATTAGTAGAGAATGAAAGTATCCTTTACTCACTCTCTACCAAACACTCGGTGTCATTGTTCATTTTATTGTTTGCCAGTATGATGGTTATTATTGTAATGTAACAATATTCTTGGCACATCATGAGCCCACTTGATCTAGAGTAAGCTCTAGATAATTAACTCTTGTAATTAATACAAGAGTTGAAGCTTGTATTAATTAGGAAAGTCTTTTCTGAGTTATGCCTTTGAAATTTTTAAATCTGTTTTCTTCCCCAGAGACACCAATTATAAATCATCTTTGTTTACTTTCCATATCTACCATTAGATAGGTATCATTAGATGTGAAAGAGATCCTTGCAAATGTGTGCCTTTTGGGAGTGGGCTGGCTACTCTGAAGAAGATAATGGTCAGCTGGCTCTGCCCAACAATAGCAGCAGCTATATGTGTTCTTTCCTGGCATTCTCTTTCATTCTAGTGTAAATTTTCCTATACTTCGTAGCCCTTTTAAATATATTTTGAGGTATGGTGCTATGCCAAAATAGTGCTTCCTTTATTTTACCAGAGATGAAGCTTTCTCCTTGTGGTGAGGTGGTTTTAAGATGAGGGGAAAATCTAACCTTGTTATGGCTGGAATTCTCACCTCAGTTACTAATTATCTATAAAATCCATGTTTGCTATAAATATCAAATAACATACAGACAAATTTTATTTTATTCTTTCAACCAAAGGTAAATATAAAGGGGTCAATGTTTCGATTAGAATTTAAAAATAAAAATGTACTAGACTCAAAAATGAAACACAAAAATCACCTTCTTAATGGAAAGCTGTACCGTTATGCTCTTTGCAATATGGAAACTTGACATTCTTGTCAAACTTATACTCATCTGCTTGTTATGAACACACTGTTCATTCTAAGCCATTTTGAGTTCTGTGGCATTACCAATTCTAAGCTTTGACAACTAGGATTTCTTGACATTTTGCTATTTCATTGTGAGGCAGGTCCACAAACAAAATTATAATTTTCCCATATAATAATTTTTATAATGAAAACAAAACATGCACATTAACAACATGGAGGGAAAACAAAAAAATCATTTATGTTAACTTTAATCTTATTTCTTAGTGAATTCTGAATGGTAGGACAGTGGGCATGAGATGTTTCCTCTATCAACCTCCCATTCCCACTATCCTAATACTCTCAATGAAGTATTACTTGGTCAAAACAATTTGTGATTTGAAATAAGATATATGTGAACTATAAAATAACAATTTTCTGTCAAATTGTCTTTTCAAATATATCTTGTCACTTGCTAGAGACTGATTATTTTTCAAAATTCCAGAACTCTTATCACCTTCCATTCACATTTGAGTTTAATACTTTTTTCATCTCCAGGATAAAATAAAATTAAAGACATACAAGAAAAAATAATAGTAGAAACCAGGTAACATATCTACTATTCAATAATTATCAAGCTTGTTTGACAGACAATGTTGAACTTACATCTAAATATTTGCTGAATATTTGTCATCTATATATTGTTAACTATTTTTCATTTCTATTCTAAGAAGAGATTTAGAATGTGTATATATTGCTCTTCCCACAAACATCTGCTTTTCTATATTCTAGCTTGACAGATCTTCTTGAAACTTCCTAATGTGCTATGCTTTTTCTTGATTCCCCGCTGCTTTGCTTGTGTATTTCCCTCTGCCGGAATGTTCATCCCACATATTTCACCTTATTGCATATTTCATCTCACTGACTGTTATTGATTCTTCTCAAGAGTCACATGCCACCTTCCTCAGAAAGCCAGTTATTATCCCCCTCACACAAGTTAGATTGCTGTACCTAGAACATACCTAAACATCACCCAATCACTATTCCACATAAACATATTTTTTCTGTCTCTATCTGTATTCCCCACTTGACTCTGAGCTCCTTGAGATTTCTTTATTCCTAGTACCTCAAGCCAAGTATAACACAGAGCAGGAGCTCAAAAAATATTTGGGAAATAAATGAATGACGAGCAGCTTTGGAAAGGACCATGTTCTTTGGTAACTACATAAGTTGCATTAAGTTGCTTTATTTCATATGCACATAACTCTGTAGGGTAAGCAGGACAGATATTATTATTCGCATTTTACAGATGGGGAAGATGGGGAAACTAATCCCAAGAGATCAAGTCAATTTGCTAATTTCATTATTTGGCCATTATTTCTTTATTCATTCTCTCTCTCTCTCTCTCTCTCTCTCTCTCTCTCTCTCTCTCCATCTTATTCTTCCCTCTAACATTTTATTTTAAAATACTCATAGATATTGGGGGGTTACTTATATAAGTGAGCTATAGCTTATAGTTTTCAGTGAAAGTCATAGCTTTATAAACAGATAATTGCAAAAGTATAGCTATATGCAAAATATGCTGGGGTATTGATGGGAGGAAGGACACTGTTAGTTCAGCTTCTCTGAGAAGCAGAGGGCAAGATGTGATCAGACACGTGAGGTGATATAGTGTGGAAATGCCTATGGAAAAAAAGTAGATGGAAATGTAGAAACTTTGGAAGGAGCCATCAGACTCTGATGTAGGTCAAATCCCTTTGAAGAAGAGAGAAAAGGAAGGAGATTTGGATAGATCCAGTTTCAGGCCACAGAGCAATTATAAAAATATTTTGGTGAGACCAATGAGGAACTTATTGAGTGACCCAACATAAAATAAGTTGTATAAGTTGTAGGAATGGGCTGCCTTAGTATTCCTGTGATAGTCAGTCATTGAGAGCAGCCCATGGGAGGTGTGATGTCAGTGTGAATGGAGTGGTGGAATTAGGATTCAGCTGCTGAGGCCATCTGTCAATTATGCAACCTGGAACAGGAGATATAATTGCCACATTTTCATGCTACCACAGACAACTTCTCTGTCTGAGGAAGTCACAGGAAGAGCTGAAAGGCAAGGCAGGGCATGGGTTGAGTTCATCATATTCCATCCAGCCAGAGAAGGAGAAAAACTATGCTGTGTGTGTGTGTGTGTGTGTGTGTGTGTGTGTGTGTGTGTGTGTCTAGGTGGGGAGCGGAAGTAAGTAAAACAGATTTATTTTCACAGAAAAAATTACAAAATGTAACACTTTCAGATAATTTAGATAGTAATCCTTGTGAGTTGTTCAATTTACAATTGAATCACTGAAATGGTCAAATGACTTAAGTCAACATTTCTCAATGTTAATTCATTGAACACTAGATCTGCAGAGTTTTAGTATAGCTAGAAAAAGGTTCTTCCGTGGTCAAATAAGTTTTGGAAATCCTGAGTTAAAATAACTGCACATGGAACATGCATGTGTGTTTGTGTTTGTGTGTCCATGTGTGCATTTCCTTCAGAGACTTGGGAGTGTGTATTTGCATTCTGAATCTCCATCAAGAGGATTTAATTTCTTTTTATATTTTGGTGGTCTTTATTTTAAATTATTTTTTGTGGATATACAGTAAGTGTATATATTTATGGGGTACGTGAGATATTTTGATACATGCATGCAATAAGAAAGAAGCATGTCATGGGAAATGGGGTATCTATCCCCTCAAGCATTATCCTTTGAATGACAAATAATCAAATTACACTCCTTACATTATTTAAAAATTTACAATTATTACTTACTGTAGTCATCCTGTTATGCTATCAAACAGTAGGTCTTTTTCATTCTATTTTTTTTGTAACAATTTGCATTAGTCAGAGTTCTTCAGAGGGACAGAACTAATAGGATATATGTTTATATGAAAGGGAGTTTATTAAGGAGAATTGGCTCACACAATTACAAGGCGAAGTCCCACGATAGGCTGTCTTCAAGCTGAGGAAGAAAGAAGCCAGTAGTGGCTTATTTTGAGTCAAAAAGCCACAAAAGTAAGGAAGCCAACAGTGCAGCCTTCATTCTGTGGCCGAAGGCCTGAGAGACCCCAGCAAATCACTGGTGTAAGTCCAAGAGTCCAAAGGCCAAAGACACTGGAGTCCGATGCCCAAGGGGAGGAGAAACGGATAGAAGCATCCATCAAGGGATAAAGATGTAAACCAGAAGACTTAGCAAGCCAGAGTATCCGGCCTTCTTCGGCCTGCTTTGTTCAATCCATGCTGGCAGCTGATTGGATAGTGCCCACCCAGATTGAGGGTGGGTCTGCCTCTCCCAGTTCACTGACTCAAATGTTAATCTCCACTGGCAACATCCTCACAGACACACCCAGGAGCAATGCTTTACCAGCTATCTCGGCATCCTTCAATTTCATCAACTTTACACCTACTATTAACTGTCACACCGTTAACCATCCCTGCCTCCACACCAGCATTTCACCACACTTTCCAGCCTCTGGTAACCATCCTTCTACTCTCTATGTCCATGAGTTCAATTGTTTTGATTTTTAGATCCTACAAGTAAGTGAGAATATGTGATGTTCATCTTTCTGTGCTTGGCTTATTTCACTTAACATAATGTTCTTTAGTTCCATTCATGATGTTGCAAATGACTGGATCTCATTTTTTTCTCACTGAATAGTACTCCGTTATGTATATGTACCACATTTTCTTTATCCATTCGTCTGTTGATGGACTCTATGATTGCTTCCAAATTTAGCTATTGTAAACAGTGCTACACAAAACATAAGAGTGCAGATGCCTTTTTTCATATACTGATTTCCTTTCTTTTTTGTATATACTGAGCAGTGGTATTGCTGGATTATATGGTTGCTACGTTTTTAATTTTTTTGAGGAACCTCAAATTGTTCTCCATAGTAGCTGTGCTAATTTACATTCCCGCCAACAGTTTGGAGGGTTCCCTTTCCTCCACATCCTCACCAGCATTTGTTATTGCCTCTCTTTCGAATATAAGCTGTTTTAACTGGGATGAGATAATATCTCATTGTAGTTTGGATTTGCATTTCTCTGATGATCAATGATATTGACACCTTTTCCTATGCCTGTTTGCCATTGGGGTATGTCTTCATTTGAGAAATAACTACTCAAATCTTTTGCCCATTTTATGATCAAATTATTAGGCATTTTTAAATAGAGCTGTTTGAGTTTCTTTTATATTTTGGTTATTCATCCCTTGTCTTGTCAGGGGGGTAGTTTGCAAACAATTTCTCTGATTTATATGAGGTTGTATCTTTATGTTGTTGATTGTTTCCTTTGCTATGTGGAAGCTTTTTAACTTGATGTGTTCTTATTTCTGCTTTGGTTGCCTGTTCTTGTGGAGTATTGCTTAAGGAATGTTTGCCCAGACCAATGTCCTGGAGATTTTCCCAAAAGTTTTATTGTAGTTATTTTATAGTTTGTTGTCTTAGATTTAAGTATTTAATCTGTTTTGATTTTTTTTATGATGAGAGATAGGGGTCTAGTTTCATTCTTCTGCATATGGATATCTAGTATTCACATCACCATTTGTTGAAGAGTTTGTCTTTTTCTCAGTGTATGTTCTCGGTACCATTATCAAAAATGAGTTCACTGTCTGTAAATGTGTGGATTTGTTTCTGGGTTCTTCATTCTGTCCCAGTGGTCTGTGTATCTGTTTTTATGACAGTCTCAACCTCCAGGGCCCATGCATCTTCCCACCTCAGCCTTTCGAGTAGCCGGAACTACAGGCACACACCACTATGCAGGGCTAACTTTTTTTTTGTATTTTGTATAAAGGCAGGGTTGTGCCATGTTGCCCAGCCTGGTCTTGAAATCCTGAGCTCAAGAGATCCATCCACCTCAGCCTTCCAAACTGTGAGGTTTATAGGAGTGTGCCACCATGCCCGGCCAGTACCATGCTGTTTGGTTCCTATAGCTCTGTAGTATAATTTGAATTCAGATAATATGACTCCTCCAGTTTTGTTCTGTTTGCTTAGAATAGTTTTTGCTATTCTGCGTCTTTTTTTTTTTTTTTGGTTCTATATAAATTTTAGTGTTGTTTTTTCTATTTATGTGGATAATATCATTGTTGTTTTGATAGGGATTGCATTGACTCTGTAGATTGCTTTGGGCAGCTTGGACATTTTAACAATATTGACTTTTCCAATCCGTGAACAGAGAATGTTTTTCTATTTTTTGGTCTCCTCTTCAATTTATTTCATCAGTGTTTTACAGATTTCATTATAAGGCCCTTTCAATTATTTGGCTATTTTCTAGGTATTTAATTTTATGTAATTTTATGTGTCACAATTGTAAAAGGGATTACTTCTTAATTTTTTTTTCACATTGATCACTGTTGACATATATAAATGCTACTGGATTTTGTGTGTTGATTTTGTATCTTGCAACTTTACTGAATTTGTTTATGATTTGCAATCTTTTTTGGTGTATTATTTAGGTTTTTCCAAATATAAAAATATTTCATCTGCAAGCAAGAATAATTTGACTTAAATTTGTATGTCCTTTATATTTTTCTCTTGTCTGATTGCTCTAGCTAGGACTTCCAGTACTATGTTGAATAACAGTTGTAAAAGTGGGGATCTTTGATGTGTTCCAGATCTTAGAGAGCAGACTTTCAGTTTCCCCTATTCAGTACGATAGTGGCTGTGGGTTTGTCATATATGACTTTTACTCTGTTGAGGTATGTTCCTTCACTACCCAGTTTTTTGAGTGTTTTTCTCATGAAGGGATTTTGAATATTATCTAATGCTTTTACAGCATCAATTGATACAATTATATCATTTTTATCCTTAATTGTTTTTATATGATGCATCACATGGATTGATTTGTGTATGTTGAACTATCCTCGCATCACAGTAATAACTTCCCATTGGTCATGATAAATGATCTTTCTAATGCATTGTTGAAATTGGTTTGCTAGTATTGCATTGAGAATATTTGCATCAATATTCATCAGAGATGTTGGCCAGTAGTGATTTTTCTTTTTCTTTTCTTTTTTTTATTTTGTGATGTGTCTTTGGTTTTGGTATCAGTGTTATACTGGCCTCATAGGACGGGTTTGGAAGTAGTCCTTCATCCTCTGTTTTTTGGAATAGTTTGAGTAGGGTTGATATTCGTTCTTTAAGTGCTAGTAGAATTAAGCCAGGCTTTATTTACTGGGAGACTTTTTATTATGGCTTTGATCTTATTAGTTGTTATTGGTCTGTTCAGGTTTTGCATTTCTTCGCGATTCAATCTTGGTAGGTTGTATGTGTCTAGGAATTTATTTATTTTCCCTATATTTTTCAGTTCACTAGCATATAGTTGCTCATTGTAGCCACTAACGATCCTTTGAAATTCTGCAGTATCATTTTTCATTACTGATTTCATTTATTTGGATCTTCTCTCTTTTTTTCTTAATTGGTCTGGATACAGGTTTGTCAATTTTGTTTAACTTATAAAAAAAGCTGTTTTATTGATCTCTTGTATTTTTTCAATTTCAAGTCTATTTCTGCTCTGATCTTTATTATTTATTTTCTTCTACTAATTTTGGGTTTGGTTTTCTAGTTCCTTAAGATGGATCATTAGATTGTTTTTTTTGAAGTTTTTCTTGTTTGTTTTTTGATAAAGACAATTATAACTATAAACTTCCCTTTTAGTACTGGTTTTGCTGTATCCCATAGGTTTTGCTATGTTATGTTTCCATCATAATTTGTTTTGAGAAGTGTTTCAAATCTCTTTATTGACCCATGGTCATTTGGGAGTATAGTTTTTTATTTCCATATATTTCTTATAGTTTCCAAAATTCCTCTTGCTATTAATTTTCATTTTATTCCATTGTTGTCAGGGAAGATGCTTGATATTATTTTAATTTTTTGAATGTTTTGATACTTGTTTTGTGACCTAACAAATGAGATAATCTATGTAAAGTGTCTAGTGTCACAGTGAATGCATAGGAAGCACTCAGCCAATGTTAGGTAAGTTTTGAAGTTTTTGGTATGGGGATATTTATAAGAATTTATAAAGCATTTGAGCATCCCCAGAAGGGTTAATTTCATCTAAATTGAAACTTTAAGAAAATGTTTTTTGCTTGTATCTTGCATGGTCTGGGAATGAGAGACAGAAAACTAGTAAGATGCTTCTGGAGTGGCTCAAACAAACAAAATACCTGTAAGGTAAAATTATGTCAGTTTATTTTTTTTTCTTTTGAAATCAGGTTTTCGTTAGCATTTGTCAGGAATAGTAACAAGTGGGAAATGGCATTTGATGGTTTGGACTTGTATTAATTACTCCCTAAAATAAGTTAAGAATTGGTATTAATGTTTTACAAAAACAATACCTAGGCCCATCCCCAGAGATACTGATTTAATCCTTCTGGGACACAACCTAGGCATCAGTATTTTTTAAAAGCTCTTCAAGAGATTCTAATGTGCACTCGGAATTCAGAACCAGTGTTCTAGTTTACCCAGACCTTCCTAAGGCTCAGTGGATATGATGTGAAATCGATCCATCCTTTGTGAGCAACCTGTTTCTCCACTAGGCACAGTAGTTACCACTCTGCTGGGTGCAAGATGTTCCCTGTCAGTAAATATCATTGCTCCTTTGAGATGAATGGACTCTAATACTGCTATAATGAACCTGCAAGTTCCTGCCAATACTTTAATCAGAAAATCACATTTGTAAAACTGTCTGTGTGTATGCTGGAAAGTTGATGTTTATCTAGCTGGGACAATGAATCAAGGAAGCATATCACTACGTGTTGTAACTCTTTGTGATGTCAGATTTTCAGCATGTAAGCAGTCATAACAAGTGGTAACCAGCACAAGCTGATGGACTTATTCAACTGCCCAGTGCACTGAATGCATGGAAACATTTTGAAGCGGAAATTTGAAGCCAATTATTAAGATATGGCATTATTGGAATTTGAATGCTTAGCTTATTGAGATTAATTCTGGTTTTGAGTAGAGTTTGGCAAACTTCTTTTTCTAAAGGTCCAGATACCAAGTATCTTATCCTTTTCAGGGCATACAGTTCTCTCAAAACTATTCGGCTCTGACATTGTCATTTAAAAAAGCCACAGACAATATGTTTTCAAAAAATGAGCACTGCTGTTTTCCAATAAAACTTTATTTTGCAAAAACAGGTAGCTGCCTGCATTTGATCCTGAGCTGTAATTTGCTAACCCATGTACCAAGGCTGGTGACATTTATGTTGTTTGGGTTTATTACAAAGCTAGTATTATTCACATATGAAACAGGGTCATTTGATGCTCGGGAGAGTAGTAATAACAATGTGGAAAGATTGATATGTAGAGGAAAGCACATGGCTCACTGTGGGTATGGGAAATATCTGTGAACAGGATGATGCTAAAATTTAAGAGGCACTACAAGCTGGTTTAAAACCCCTGGGCAGGTGGGATACTTGAGGGCATACTCACTAATGAAGTGATTTCAATCATACTGGAAATTGCTGAGGATGTTTATTACTCTGTATCACCAAGCAGCAACTAGAAAATGGGTGCCTGGGAGAAGACTTTTTAATCCATATACATTGGACCTGGTGTTTAGAATTTAAAATTTAAAATTGTAGGCCACCAAAGCTAATGATGCTGAACTAAGATTAGTGTGCTTAAAATTACAAATAGAAGCATGCACATTAAGCTCATTTTGATGAGGAGGAGTCTGATTGTATGTAAAAAGACTTGTCAAAAAATCACAATTTTAATATTCCAAAGTTGGGGACTCGAGGAATGTCAAAACATCGTAAGTGGGCTGAAGATTTGAGCCATTCTAAGTTCTCAAAATGATAAGTTTATAAGATTGCAACCAGTTCCTGTAAACTAGTTTTTAAAAGCATTTATTTTGAAAATTTTCTAAAACCTACAGTGCAGAAGGAGAAAAAATAGTAGTTAGAAATAGTTTTCTGTTTCCATGCCTGATAAATGTGTGCACTGAATTGAGGATGAATCAATAAACAGAGGTACAATATTCTCAATCTCCTACAGAACAGTCTACAAATATTTCCCTGGCTGAGATTTGCACCATACTATAAAGAGCTACTATTTAGTGGCATCACTTTAATCTCAGAATCCCATATTCCAAATGCTTATCCAGTAGAGGTACAATGAAAAAAAAAAGTCAAATAAAATTCAAACTTGTATCAGGAGGACAGTAAAGTACTTGATAATGTGTTTAGTGAATGAATGGAGCAGTAAGTAGTATTAGCTGAATAGATATGCCACGCTAGCAGTACACTAGGCCTCTTAAAAATTCACTAACGTAGCCTCTTGTCCTACTTTGGCCAACTCAAATCAACCTGAGAGAAATGACAACCTGATCAGTTATGATGATGACTCACAATGAAGTGATGGTCAACCAGGAAGGACAGAATGGTATGTACCTCAACTGGAATGGAATACCAAACCCTGTGGAAGCCACTGTAGTTTGATATAGCTCACTTACATTTGATTTCTAATATATCCTCCAGCCTTCACCTTCTCACTGAGTTGTATTTGCCCTAGTCTGCCTACTAGGGAATCCTAATTTTTCTTTTTGCTGGACCTGCTGATTGTGTATTATTAATTTATTTTGAGTAAAGGTGAAAGATAAATAAATACATCTCTAGCATTCTACTAATTTGAAAAGTATACCTCAAGGGGACTTACAGGATACTATTAAGTTAGAATGGCTTATTGAATAAGTGATCAGTGGTATGAATTATTTGGCAATTATGGTTTTTCTAAGATAACTATGTTTAAGATAATATTAAAAATGAACTTTAGCCAAAGAGCCAAGGTTGACAAATAGCAAAAATCAAATCTAGCTTTTGGACCTAGATGCCAAGCAAGTGTGAAGGACTATGCATCCAAATCTAAACACCTGGAGACTATAAATTGGGTTATGAGTTGGAGATTGGGAGGTTTTGAGAAAATGATTGTTGGAGAAAGACATGGATCTGCAATGAGTCCTGTTTATCAAGGTATGAAAATTAGGGGCTTGCCCCTCACCTCAAGCTTAACAAGAAGGACTTCAAAGGGATGATTGAGCCCTTAATACATAACTGACACTTGGGTAGGAACACAGTGGGCTGAGAAAGAGGAGTGAATGCTAGAGTGAAGGAGAGTGTTTCAAGAACTTCAAGGAAACTGTAAATAAAGATCTGTATTAACAGTGGAGTGATCTCTGATGAATTCAAGCAGCACTACAGAATTTATGGGAAAGGTTCCACCAAGGTACTCAGGCAAACCTTGTATATATCTGCATAGCCATATAGGCACATGGTTGAACTGAAGATCATCTTAGTCTTGGTAGAATACCTTATGATATTCCCAAAACACAAGAGGGTAGGAAACCTGTGAGAAGCAGCCTCAAGACCACCTTTCATTTGCCTGCTTCTCTTCCTTGGGAGGCCATCATGTGACAGTTTCTCATTACTCTTTAGGTTATGTTGAGGTATGAGCTTTCTTCCCTCCATAATAATGTAGCCCACAACACAATGCAGTTATCTAGCCTCTTTGTTTCAGTGTCATCCTTCTTAGTATGTGAGATACAGACCATGGGGAGTTGGCATCTTTGACTATTCTTTATTTAGTTATATGTGCAATAAACTCTCTGAATCTAAAAATGTATGATTGTATGTTTACTAGTTTAATCAGTCAGTCCTTGGCTTTGGCCTTCCTTTGTCTTTTCCGTATGTTTCACACAGAATACAAGATAATCAGGTTTAAATACTTTCTAGGCCCAGATAATACATCCCTGGTTGTTAATTGTGGTAGAAGTAAGAATATGCCTTACTTACATCCCAAATCCAAAGATAAGATTAAGAATTGATGAGATACAATGTAATGGTTGAGATAAAAGAATGTAAATATCACAGCACCAGGAAAAAATCAGCAAGGTTTCTGGAGAGAAAGAGAAGGCCCTCTTGGGAGTCCTGGACATGAATTTTGAGGTGAGATCAACCTATATGTTGGTATTTTTCTCCAGTTACACTTAGTTGCTAGGGTGCAGGTGAGAAGTAGGTGGAAAATAAATTTGTTGATGGTTGGATATTGCCAGTAGTGATAACAAACCCTGGAATGAAATTCTACTACTAACAATAGGCAACACTGTGTCAATCATTAGTAATTAAAAACATATGGGAGTCTGTTGACACTAGAGCATGTTTGCAAAACTACTGGAGAATTATTCAAAGAAACAAACTAACAGAATACCTTTAATGACCTGACTCAGAGTTAGCAAGTTAGAAATTATACGAAAAAGTAGTCGAGTGCCATTTAGGAATCAAACCCCTCTCACTTCTAGAGATTAATGGAGGGAAGTCTGTGAAGGTTTTCATGGTAATTTTAACTTTTGCCGCATTAATTGCTGATCCTGACCATTCTTTCATTTTCAGTTCTGATTTCATTTTTAGGGCATAGTGACTATGCTCTGTGACATTTCAGGAAAGAAGAAGCTTACATCCTTTGGCAACTAAAGACAGTGTAATTGAAAGGTCCAAAACCAGAATTAACAGATAAACATGTGGGTGTCTTTCCAAGTGTGAATTTCACACTATCCTCTTCCCAATTAACTGACCGGTGTCAAACATTAAGCACTGAGGCAATAGTAAGTAGTAGCTCTAGAAGACCTCACTTTAAAATTTACCCCAGAGCTGACCCCAGCAACAAGAGGACCGACTCTCACCTCAGCCACAGCCACAGACAATTACAACCATCCCCAGTGAGGAAATTAGGGATACCTGGATCCCCCAGGGGGACGGCCACTGTTTATAGAAGGCCTGGCAGAAAACTTGGGGCTACCTGCAGAGATGGTGTGTGCAGTGGATGACAATTTCATGCCTTTGGGCAAATTGTTATTAAAACCAGTTGAGAATTTCGAGACTGTAATGGACAGGCCCTGAATTATGAAGGAAGTCAAGATAAAAAGAGACGGTCTTTCGGTAGTGAGGATCACACCTGTCATACATTAGAATTGTTTAATGGTGTTGAAACACCTAGTCTCAAAGCAATGGAAGGAACTAGATTTGCTCTAAGGAGTCTGTTCCTTGGTTTTGAAGACATTTTACAAAAAGTGGGAAATTTAGGGACAATTAAAGACCTTGAAATGGATACGGATACTGATAAAGGTTGAGTATCCCTTATATGAAATGTTTGAAATGAGAATTGATTCAGAATTTTTATTATTTTTCTGGATTTGTGAATATTTGCATTATATTTACTGGTTGTGTATTCCAAATCTGGAAATCCAAGATCCCAAATCCAAAATGTTCCAATGAGCATTTCTGTTGAGTGTTATGTTGGTACTCAAAAACTATTAAATTTTGGAGCATTTCGGGTTTCAAATTTTTGGATTTGATGTACTCAATCTGTAATATCTGAAGGTTTCAAATACATCCTTAAAATATGTTGCCATTGCTAAAAACAATTTACAACCTTGCTGAACAAGGCAGTTTATCTGAAAATTGAAGAACTAGACTCCAGAATTAATGTACATAAATTCTGTGGACTTGAAACTAAATATTTGGAAATCACTGATATGCAAAAGAATAACTAACTCATCAGTAACAAGGAGACATCATATATAATTGTACAGGTTTCTTAGGAGAGATGCCATTTACTTTATGAGTTTCCAAATTTACCCAGATAGATAAAAATATTTTGAGAGGTGGCTACTACATGCAATAGTCAGGTGGGCTGAGATACAAAAGCCTACATCTGATCTCTATAATTTATAAGTATAGCTCCAAACCAACAAAATCAACTGCATCAAATATTTTTTAGACCTTGTTGCCTTAGCAATGGTAAAACCATTGTATTATTTGTACTGCATACCAATAACACACCATAGGTGATGCTACTAAATTCAGCCTAGTTTTCTTTTTTTCTTTCATCTTCAATAGACTCCTCAAATGCCTATTGATCTCTCTTTGAAACAAGTAATATAAGATGGGCTGGGGATGTCCTAAAAGTCAGAATGAACTAGTACTTCCTAAAACAAAACAAAAAAGATGCAGAGGGAAAGAAGAGCGTTGAATTTCATTTGATCATTCATTTCTCTAGTAGAAATGTGTTTGGTGATTACCATCCATCAGCCATTAATATAGCAGCTGATGAAGCCATGATGCTTATCCTCAACAAGGACACAAAGGTAGGAAGTCAGAATCCCACAACTATTTGCCTCCTCACAATTACTTACCTTTTTTTCTTCTTTATTATTAAAAAGTATTAGCAACTAATAAGCCCCTTCTAGCACTATGTGATACTAGGATCAACAGTCAAATAGATGACTCTTATCTGCCTAAATGTAATTTAATGTAATTTTTAAAAATCATAATAGTAATCAGATTCAGGAGGCAAAGCAATAATACTAGCGCAGTGCTGCTCTCAATACTTCAACAGATACGTAGCTGAAGAAAATGCCAAAAATAGTGGAGTTTTGTCTTCATTGTATTTACAGTTTCTAATGGCATATTTTCAAATTAAGGCTTGGATAAGACAGTTTTAGCACTTACCATTGGAAGAACAGGCCAATCAGACCCGCATAATATTTCTCAAGTTCAAAAGAAACAAGATAATAACTATATACCAAAAGGCATTTCTCCTCATGAAAAAGAGGAAATGTTGATTGAATACATATCTCTAAATACCCAGTCCATTTAAATTTTATGTCACAACAACAAATTGTCATTGACACTTATCATCAGCATAGATATTTTCTACCAAAATACCACTTTTCCTGGTGTGAATTTATCTTCTGCTTCTCAGCAAAATTTCAAATATATTTTCAAATGTGCAATATTAAATTTCTCTCATAAATGCTGAGGAAGCCACCGAAAATTTCGTTTCTAAGTGTAGCTAATATGAGGATGAATCAGATTTCCAAGTAAGTCTCTGAAACATTCTCATGAAAAAGGGTTAAGTCTGTAGAAAGAGTCTGCAGCCCTGCACATAATGAAAAGTCCAATCCTGCACGTGCAAAATGTGGCAGGTGCTAAAGCTATCAGCTGTATCAGTGAGCAGATCCAGGGACAATTTTCATATGCTAAGCTATATCTTTTTTTAAAAGGTGATGAAAGAAAACATTATAAAATCCATTGTTGTGTCATTTAATCTGCATCACATCAGGATTCTAGTCTCTTCTTTGTGATTTTATCAAACCACAGTAGACTACATCTATTTCTGTTCTGGGCATGCTTTCTCTTTAATAATTCTGCTTTTATACCTCTAAGCACACTGTTGTAATTAGATCACTTTGAGTATTCTGAACTTTTCCTCAAGGACTTTTCTCAGAATATCTTTACTGCTTGTTTTTGAATTAGACCACCTTGGTTAGGATTTCCAGCCCCAATGAGTCCTTGAAAGCCAAATGGCTAACCTGAACTAGTGCCTGCCTAGTCTGCTGAGTTGGGTGGGGGACATCCCATAATTCGATTTACTCTTTGTAAAATGAGGATATGGCCTAAATGGGTGTCATGGTGACTTCTTGCCCTCTTCCTGCAAATAAATTATTCTTCAGTTATATGGCTGGGTAAATAGTAATGCCACAGAAAAATACAATCTTTTTTAAATGCTCATTTTTCTAAATTTTCTAAATTGTGAAATCTTTAATTTTTGTGGGTACATAGTAGGGGCATATATTTATAAGACACATAAAATGTTTTGATGCAAGCAGGCAATGTGAAATAATCATATAATGGAGAATGGGGTATCCAACCCACAAGCATTTATCTTTTGTGTTACAAACAAACCCATTGTAATCTTTTAGTTATTTTAAAAGATAAAATTTATCATTGACTATAGTCACCCCATTGTGCTATCAAATAGTAGGTCTTATCATGCTTTCTACTTTTTGGATCCAATAACAATTCCTACCTACCCCCCAATCACCCCAGTATACTTCCCAGACTATGGTAACCATCCTTCTACTCTCTACATCCATGAGTTCAATTGTTTTTATTTTTATATCCAACAAATAAGTAAGAACATGCTATGCTTGTTTTTCTGTGCCTGGCTTATTTCACTTAACATAATGACCTTCAGTTCCACTCTTGTTATTGCAAATGACAGGCTCTCATTATTTTTTATGACTGAATAGTACTCCATCGTGTACCTATGACACGTTTTGTTTATTCATCTGTCGATGGACACTTAGGTTGCTTCCAAATCTTGGCTACTGGGAGCAGTGCTGCAATAAACATGTGAGCACAGATTTTTTTATATGTATGCTCCTTGTTTTTCTTTTGGGTATATAACCAGCAGTGGGATTGCTGGATTATACGGTAGCTCTATTTTTAGTATTTTGAGGAACCTCCAAACTGTTCTCCATAGCGGTTGTACTAATTTACATTCCCACAGTGTACGAGTGTTCCCTTTTCTCCACATCCTTGCCGCATTTGTTATTGCTTGACTTTCGGATAGAAGCCATTTTAACTGGGGTGAGATGGTATCTCTCTAGCTTTTATTTGCATTTCTCTGATGATCAATTATGTTGATACCTTTTCATAAGCCTGCTTGCCATTTGTATGTCTTCTTTTGAGAAATGTCTATTAAAATCTTTTGCCCATTTTTTGATCAGATTATTGGACTTTTTCCTATAGACATGTTTGCACTCCTAATATATTCCAGTTATTCATCTGTTGGCAGATGGGTAGTTTGCAAATATTTTCTCTCATTCTGTGGGTTGTCTCTTCACTTTGTTGATTGTACCCTTTGCTGCACAAAAGCTTTATAACTTGATATGATCACATTTGTCTATTTCTGCTTTGGTTGCCTGTGCTCATGGGGTATTGCTCAATAAATTTTTGTACAGACCAAAGTTCTGGAGATTCTCCACAAGGTTTTATTCTAGTAGTTTGATTGTTTGAGGACTTAGATTTAAGTTTTAATTCATTTAAATTTTATTTTTCCATATGGTGTGAGATCAGGTTCTAGTTTCATTCTTCTGCATATAGATTTCCAGTTTTCCTAGCATGGTTTATTGAAAAGAGTTTTTCTCCAGGGTATGTTCTTGCCACCTTTGTCAAAAATGAGTTCACCGTAGGTGTGTGAATTTCTTTCTGGGTTCTCTGTTCTGTTCCTTTGGTCTATGTGTCATATTTCAGATGTTAAAAAAAAAGGCTTTCAATTCTTCCCCATTCGGTATGATACCAGATGTGTGTCTGTCATATATAACTTTTATTATGTTGAGGTATGTTTCTTCTATACCCATTTTCTTGATGATTTTTTGAATCATGAAAGCATGTTTAATTTTATCAATTGCTCTTCAGCATCAATTGAAATGATCATATGTATTTTGTCCTTCATTCTGTTGATATGGTGTGTCACATTGACTGACTTGTGTATGTTGAACAATCCTTGCATCCCAGGGATAAATACCATTTGGTCATGATTAATAATCTTTCTAAAGTATTTTTGAATTGGTTTGCTAGAATCTTGTTGAGGATTTTGGCATCAATAGTCATCAGAGGTGTTGGCCTGTGGTTTTCTTTTCTTTGATGTGTCTTTGTCTGGTTTTGGTATTAGGATAACACTGGCCTTGTGGAATCAGTTTGGAAGTATTCCCTCCTCCTCTGTTTTTCACAATAGTTTGAGTAGGATTGGTATTAGTTCTACTTCAAATGTTTGTTAGAATTCAGTAGTGAAACCATTGGTTCTCAGGGTTTCCTTTAGTGAGGAATTTTTTGTTACGGCTTCAATCTCATTGCTTGTTATTGGTCTATTTAGATTTTGCATTTCTTCCTGACTCAATCTTGCTAGGCTTTATGTGTCTAGGAATTTGTCCATGTCTTCTGGATTTTCCAATTCATTGGAATATAGTTGCTCATAGTAGCAATTAATGCTGCTTTGAACTGCAGTATCAGTTGTAATGTCTTTTTTTTTCATTTCTGATTTATTTATTTGGATCTTGTCTTTTTAAATTTAGCCTCGCTAAAGATTTGTCAATTTTGTTCAAATTTTGAAAAACTAACTTTGTTTTATTGATCTTTTAAATTGTTTTCTTCATTTCAATTTTATTTATTACTGCTCTGATCTTTATTTCTTTTGGTCCTGCTTATTATGGTTTGTTTTTCTCTTGCTCTTCTTGTTTTTTAAAATGCATCACTTGATTGTTTACTTGAAGTTTTTCGTGTTTTCTGATGTAGGCACTTATAGCTATAAACTTCCCCCTTAGTACTGATTTTGGTGTATTCTATAAATTTTGGTATGTTGTATTTCCATTATCATTTGTTTCAAGAAGTTTGTCAATTGTTTTCCTAATTTCTTCATTGACCCACAAGTCATTTAGGAACATATGGTTTCATTTTCATTTGTTTTTATAGGTTCTAAAATTCCTCTGGTTTGTGGTTTTCTAGTTTTATTCTATTGTGGTCAGAGAAGGTGATAGATATTATTTTGATTTCTTTGAATGTTATGAGACTTGTTTTGTGACCTACCCATATGGTCTATCTTTGAAAATAATCCGTGTGCTGAGGAAAAGAATGTGTATTCTGCAGTTGTTGAATGACATATTCTGTAAATATCTATTCAATCCATTTAGTCTATAGTGTAGATTAAGTCTGATGTTTCTTTGTTGATTTTCTGTCTGGAATATCTGTTCAATGCTGAAAGTGGGGTGTTGAAGACCCCAACTATTACTGTACTGAGGTATTTCTCTTTGTCTCCAATATATTTGCTTTTCATATCTGGGTCTTCTAGTGTTGGCAATATATATTTAAAATTGTTATATTCTCTTGTTAAATTGACAACTTCATTATTATATAGTGACCTTTTTGTCTCTTCTTACAGTTTTTGTCTTGAAGTCTATTTTGTCTGATGCAAATCTAGTCACACCTGCTTTTTTGGTTTTCATTTGCATGTAATATCTTTTTCCATTGCTTTACTTTCAGTCTATCTGTGTCTTTATAGGTGAAGCATTAAGGACCGTCAAAGTAGTACCTGGGTATCATTGCTGGTTATTAAGGGCCCCGGGGCTCTTCATTTAGTGGGTGATGAATACTGCCAGGATTGGGTCCATCCCTTCAAGGCAGTGGGTTCCCTTCTGTCCCAGAGTGTTTAGGAATATCTTCCAGGAACCAGGGCCTAGAATGGGGGCCTCACAACTCTGACTATTACCCTATCCTGCTGTGGCTGAGAGAGTATCCGAGATGCAAGACAAAGTCCTCCTTACTCTTCACTCTCCTCTCCTCAAGCACAAGGAAGGGGTCTGTTTTGGAGTCATGAGCTATGTAGCCTGGATTTAGGAAAAGGGTAATGCCAGCACTCCCTTAGCTGCCCTAGCTCGCGTCTCAGTAGGTTATGTGCCCCTTCAGTCCACTGTCTCTGGGCCTAGTTCAGTACTAGGACTTGCCTAAGAGTTGCAGTTTTTGCAGCATACAACGCCTTTTGAGTTTATTTAGAGCCCCAGGGCATTTCAGC
The DNA here is from genome assembly GCF_000001405.40 of Homo sapiens. Lineage (NCBI taxonomy): Eukaryota > Metazoa > Chordata > Mammalia > Primates > Hominidae > Homo > Homo sapiens. The sequence goes on from NW_025791819.1 coordinate 270,317, forward strand.
CCCTTGATGCTAGGTTAGAGGGAACTCAAGTTCAGATGGCTGGGATTAGTGATTCCCCTCTGCGTAGGGCTGGTTTAAATGCAACGACAATAGGTGGTTGTCAGCTGAGTTTTGGTCTAGTTTTCCTTCCTGCTTTTCCAGGACAGCACTGAGTGCAATATGTCACAGTTGCTGGACTCTCCCTCCCCCAACTCCCAGACATGCTCTCCACACCATGCTGTGGCTGCTGAGATAGAGTGGGGTGGGCTGGGGTTTCGATGGGGGAGGTAGGAGAGAGTTGGTGGAGTGGAGCCAGTGGTTTAAGACTGATTTTTCTATCTCTTTAGTGTCTCTCCCAGCGATATGATGTTAAAACCAGTTACTATGAGGGCTCACCTGATTTTTGGTTCTTATGATGGTGTTTTTACATGTAGGTAGTTGTTAAATTAGTATTCTTGCTGTGAGGGATGACTGGTGGAGCCTTCTATTCTGCCATCTTGCTTTGCCTCCTCAAAAATGTTGGCAATTAAATTCCAAATATTTTGCTCATATGTAACACTTAGTATAAAATATAGTATTTAATATCATGCACCAGCATGAAAAACACTTTAATTATATCTGAAGGATAATATAACATCTGGTATCTCGTATATGTCACAGAAATTTTTGACATCTTTATACTCAGACAACTATACTGAGGAAAAGGAATTTTTACCCCCTCTTATCAAGCATGATAATTTCTTTGGGGAAAGAACTACCACGTACTCCCTCCTTTTCCTCCATCCCTTCCTTTTTCCATGGGAGATGACAATGTGACCTTCATTGGTCAGAACCTCATTCATCTATTACTACATCTTATACCGCTGGGCATGTTACTGGACCTTCAGGATTTGGTTCAAATTGGTTTTCCTCTTTCACTTCCTACCCAATTTTATGTGAAAATATTTTTACTTTCAATAAGGGAAGACTCTTGGAAACTATCAGTGCCTGACAGGAGCTATGCTAGTGGTTGGTACATTAAATAAATGTCAATTAAGACCTTTATAGAAAGGTATGAAGTTATGTAAACATAAATGTGCAACTGTGAAAATTTAAGTAGAAACCTAGTATGGAAAATATTACCCTGTGACTGTCTTTGATATGCCCTCTTCCCCTAGCTAGTATGTCTGTTTCTCTAGAAGTTATAGACATTTTTGGCAATCCTTCCTTCTCCAGGAAAAACAAACTGTTCCTCCCAGTGTTATAATATTTATAAACTAATTCAAGTTCATGTGTTAATGGGTTATACTTGTTTAGAAAATAATTTGGATCATAGTATTTCTCACACTAGGAAGATATGTTGATTCTTTAGAGACAAATGTTCATGGCACAGAGTGATGAAATTGATCAGCCATGTCCCTTCATAACTTTCAATTCTCTTTCCTTAATTTGTCCATTCAACCAGTGTTAAATTATTTCAGGTACAGCAATGTCTTCATTCACAGAATACTCATCTAACACTACCAATTGCCCACCTTGAATTTCTAGCACATGATATCAACTACCACATGTGCCACTGTCTACATAAATTGCTTTGATTCCTTTTGTGACATAGCTGGGTAGAGATAAAAAAAGATATGAAACATGAATATCTGTAGAGAAATATGGCACTCAAGACATTCCATCTTCACTTATACAGCAACATCATCCTTTTCTGTTTTACATGGTAAAATCTTTATGTTAAGGGCAGGTAGTGCCTGTGCCTTGGCAATAATTTATTACAACTTATATAGCACTTACTTTTTTTTTTTTTTGATATGGGGTCTTGCTCTGTCACCCAGGCTGGAATGCAGTGGCATGATCTAGGCTCACTGCAACCTCTGCCTCCCAGGCTCAAGTGATACTTTCACCTTGGCATCTGAAGTACCAGGGACCACAGGCGGGCACCACCACATCCAGCTAATTTTTTGTATTTTTTTTGTAGAGATGGGGTTTTTCTATGTTGGCCAGGCTGGTCTCCAACTCCTGAGCTCAAGGGATCCACCCACCTCAGCGTCCCAAAGTGCTGAGATTACAGGCATAAGCCACCATGCCCAGTCAAGATCTTTTACATCTCTATTCTATTTAAACTTCTAGGTACAGTCCCCTATGTAATTTATTTTGTTCCACTTTAGACATGAACAAATATGTATTTCAATATAAAATTCATTACAACTAATGCCTAAACCTAGGTAATGCCAATTGGTGTAGCCTTAGAGGGTTGGCCTAAGACCAATTTCAATTCAATTTAATTAGTATTTTTTTCTCCCAGTTCTTCACCAATATGCCAACCAGTGAAAGTTATGGAGAAACAAAGTCCATTTCAATATAAGGGCAAACTTCCAGAGCAATCAGCAATGTTTAAAATGGTACAGTCTTTCTCAGTGAGCTTCTCATCACCAGAGGCACACCATCAATGGATATTTGATCATCTACAGTAAAATTGTAAAAGAAACTCTTACACTAGATATAGGCATGGTTTAAGTAATTTCTTTACTCCTTTATATTTCTAAGCCCATGAAAATATTTTTTCTATATAGCTGGTGGCCTATTTTTTATTGCTTGTGTGAATGGTGGCTAATGCAAAACCCTACCATTTTAGAGACTTCTTCTTTATCTACAGTTTGGTTTGTAGGCTAACTTACTAGTTTTTTCATCTCATGAACTTATAACAATTCAAGAACTACTTTCTAAATCTTGCATTTTACTTTTCAGTCTAAATTGACAAATATCACGTGTCTGTGTATGGCTTCTGAATGTTCAGATCATAACATGTTTCTCTGGCCTCCAAATGAAAATAAAACAATAATTTGAATTGATGTTACATCCTGTAAAAAACAGAAAAGAGAAATCTATGTTAGTAAGAGTGAGGCAAGTTGTAACAAAATTGTGATCACACTGTGAAACCAGCACATCTCTAAATCTTTCTAAATGCACGTTACCATAATAAAAAAAAAAAAACTTTCTCATACACAGGTGATAGCAACAACCTACCATCTGTAGGGATCTGCCAAACTCGCAGCCTCTTTCACTGACCAATTTCCATAGTGAGGACCACTAAGCATTCACTTGTCAGCTCAGCACCTGAGCAAGTCCTGGGGTTAAGTTAATCCATGTTCTGGGAGAGAAGATATTTTAAGTAATTCTATACCCAGAGTTCTAAGTTCAGACTTAAGCCAATATTTATGATGAGCTCACTCTAGCCAGACCTTTTTAACTCCTACTTATCCTTTATACTCAAGGGCATACCCTCTAGCGTGTTGCCATTAGAGTTTCCTTCTTTCCATAGCCAGCCCTTCTGGCTACAGTAACAACAGGATGGTTCAAATTCTTCTATGGCATCTACGACATCATGATAAAAGAATGCATCTCTGTTATGCCCAACACTGAGAGTGCCTGCTTTGTTGTTGCTGCCCCCTCTCTGTTCAACCATTTCTCTGAAATGTTCATTTGTTTCTGCTGAAATAGGCACGGGGGAAACCAGCAAGCCCACGCATAAGTCAGTGGCCCACAAATGTGAATGTGCATCAGAATCACCAAGACAGTTCGTTCAAACATAGATAGTTAGGCCCTATTTTTAGAGTTTCTGATTCAGTAGGTCTGGGGTGAAACCCAATAATGTGCGTGCCTAGCACTTTATCAGGTGATGATGATGGTGCTGGTCTGTGGATTACCATTTAATAATGAATTTAGCAAGGTAATCAGTTGCCTGTCTTCTTCAGTTAAATATACCACCAGTCTCTAAGAATGAATTTCTTGGAGCCTCTTCGTTTATCTTCTGAGTGAGAAAGTACCTCTTTCCCTTCTCTAAGAGGGTAAATTTCCATAAGGCCATTGATGCTTGCTCTCCAGTATTTTGCATCTTTTTACCTACTTTTCTGTTTATATACGTTGGGAATTGGAGAGCCTGTCTAGCTGATTCTTAATAAGCTCTGCAAAGGGTATGTATTAGTTTACTAGTGCTTCTGTAACAGAGTACCACAGACTGGGTGGCTTAAACAACAAAAATCATTTTCCCACACTTCTGGAGGCTAGATATCTGAGACCAAGGTGTCAGCAGAGCTGGTTCCTTCTAGAGGCTCTGAGGGAGACTCTGTTCCAGCCCTCCCTCCTAGCTTCCTGTGGTTTTCTGTCAATCTATGATACTACTTGTCCTGTAATATGGATCAACCCAATTGCTGTCTTCATGTTTATGTGACTTTTTCTCTGTGTGCATGTCTGTGTACAAATTTCCCGTTTCATAAAGACATCAATCATAGCCTCCTGCATTATCTTAACAAATTATATACTCAAAGACCGTATTCCCACATAAGATCACATTCTCAGGTACTGATGTTTACGGCTTCAATATATAAATTTGGGGAGGACATAATTCAACTCAAACAGAGTGTCATGTCCCCATGAATACCTGGCTTTCTATGAAATGGAGGTTGTTTGAAGATTCTACCCTCAGCTTTGGATCTTAATCACCGGTTAGAAGCTACATGAATTGCTTTGCTCTACAACCTTCTATGAATAAATGCCTGGAGGGAGGCGAGACCTTACTGAAAGCTATCTTGAGTCCAGTCTATAATGAATCATCCTGAAGAACAGAGTAGTTTCTCTTAAGGAAAGTATTCTCTCATTGCTCTTCTTTGGCTAGAATTACCTGTTCATTACTGGTTGTCCATTTTTCCATATGATCAATATAATTATATTGTCAACAACAATAATGACAAAAAATTTTTCAAAAGCTACAGCAATGTCCAGGTGCGGTGCCTCATGCCTGTAATCCCAGCACTTTGGGAGGCTAAGGCAGGTGGATCACGAGGTCAGGAGGTTGAGACCATCCTGGCTAATACGGTGAAACGTTGTCTCTATTTAAAATACAAAAAATTAGCCAGGCATGGTGGCACATGCCTGTAGTCCTAGCTACTCGGGAGGCTGAAGCAGGAGAATCTCTTGAACCTGGGAGGCAGAGGTTGCAGTGAGCAGAGATCTTTTTCTTTTCTTTTTTTTTTTATTATACTTTAAGTTTTAGGGTACATGTGCACATTGTGCAGGTTAGTTACATATGTATACATGTGCCATGCTGGTGTGCTGCACCCACTAACTCGTCATCTAGCATTAGGTATATCTCCCGATGCTATCCCTCCCCCCTCCCCCCACCCCACAACAGTCCCCAGAGTGTGATATTCCCCTTCCTGTGTCCATGTGATCTCATTGTTCAATTCCCACCTGTGAGTGAGAATATGTGGTGTTTGGTTTTTTGTTCTTGTGATAGTTTACTGAGAATGATGATTTCCAATTTCATCCATGTCCCTACAAAGGACATGAACTCATCATTTTTTTATGGCTGCATAGTATTCCATGGTGTATATGTGCCACATTTTCTTGATCCAGTCTATCATTGTTGGACATTTGGGTTGGTTCCAAGTCTTTGCTATTGTGAATAATGCCGCAATAAACATACGTGTGCATGTGTCTTTATAGCAGCATGATTTATAGGCCTTTGGGTATATACCCAGTAATGGGATGGCTGGGTCAAATGGTATTTCTAGTTCTAGATCCCTGAGGAATCGCCACACTGACTTCCACAATGGTTGAACTAGTTTACAGTCCCACCAACAGTGTCAAAGTGTTCCTATTTCTCCACATCCTCTCCAGCACCTGTTGTTTCCTGACTTTTTACTGATTGCCATTCTAACTGGTGTGAGATGGTATCTCATTGTGGTTTTGATTTGCATTTCTCTGATGGCCAGTGATGATGAGCATTTTTTCATGTGTTTTTTGGCTGCATAAATGTCTTCTTTTGAGAAGTGTCTGTTCATGTCCTTCGCCCACTTTTTGATGGGGTTGTTTGTTTTTTTTCTTGTAAATTTGTTTGAGTTCATTGTAGATTCTGGATATTAGCCCTTTGTCAGATGAGTAGGTTGCGAAAATTTTCTCCCATTCTGTAGGTTGCCTGTTCACTCTGATGGTAGTTTCTTTTGCTGTGCAGAAGCTCTTTAGTTTAATTAGATCCCATTTGTCAGTTTTGGCTTTTGTTGCCATTGGTGAGCAGAGATCTTACCATTGCACTCCAGCCTGGGCGACAGAGCAAGACTCAGTCTCAAAAACAAACAAACAAAACAACAAACCAAAAAAGCTACAGCAACAACACTTGTGATATTTAGATTTTGTAGCTTAATGTGAGAAATAACTGGAAAGTTTATGAAATTAAGTCTTCTTACTTAGTAATACAGTTTTTCTTGTCATTTTTTCAGGACTTCCTTTATGTTCCTCTGCAAGTATTTGCAATTTTATAAATACAGCTTCTGTCATATCTTGTTATGTCTATTCCTAAATATTTTATGTATGCAATATAATGGGTACAATCTTACTTTTATTAGCAACTTGTATGGTCATGACTCCTTCCAAAAGAGCTCTTCTTCTATTAGGTAAGTGATTTGATAATCCTACTTAGAAACTTACACATTAAGACATGTCTTTTGGTAGGTATGTGGGGATGTGAGCAGACAGAGCTGCTCTACAATGAGATACAAACATATTTGCTTGAGAAAGAAGGAATGATGAATAGAGACAGATAATGGAGAAATGGAGTCATTTGGTTGGCAAATAACCAAAAGTTGGCTGTAATGGAGAAAATTAGTACTTATCAGGGACTTACTACAGTGTGTGTTTGTGTCCTCTGAGAAAAAGACATAAAGATTAGGTTAGACATACTTGAGATTTGTTGAGAAAAAAGCTTGTAAGATTAAAAAAAAGTGGAAAGACCTAGAAATGGTGGGTAGCACCTTCAGACAATCATACTGATCTGACATTTGTGAGAGAGAGAGGGAAGGAAGAAATGATTGGATAGGGAGGGTTTCAGAATGCAGTACAACTCGGAGAAAGTTTCCATCAAGCCAATATTAATGTTCTAGAAAGTACTGGTCTAATCATTAATATTCCCATTTGGCATAATATTATTTATATTCTAGATTTTTAAATATTGTTCTACTTTGGTTTTCTTGCATTAAAAGTATAACATGATGGTACAGAGACTGCACTCTAAAATTCAGCAGACTCAAATTTATTTCCTAATTCTGACATTGAGCCAGTTATTTTACCTTTTTATTCTTTACTTTTCTCATCTCTAAAATGAGAAAACTTGTAGTATCTACCTCATAAATGTTTATATGTATTGAATGGGAAAATGCAAGTAAAGCACATAGTATCAGGCTCTTCATTAATGTCTCTTCCTCTTCTTTTTGTTCTTTTTTTATTTTGAGGGGAAGTCTCACTCTTTCGCCTAGGCTGGAGTGCAGTGGCACGATCTCTGCTCACTGCAACCTCCACCTCCCAGGTTCAAGCGATTCTCCTGCCTCAGCCTCCCAAGTAGCTGGGATTACAGGCACCCGCCACCATGCCTGGCTAATTTTTTGTATTTTTAGTAGAGACAGGGGTTTCACTATGTTGGCCACACTGGTCTCGAACTCCTGACCTCATAATCCACCTGCCTTGGTCTCCCAAAGTGCTGGGATTACAGGCATAAGCCACCACACTCCGCCTCTTCCTCTTGATAAAAAAGGTACTTATCTTAACATGGGACCTCCACTCTCATGTCATCTAAACCTAGTTACATCCCAAATAACTCATCTCCAAATACCATAACACTGGAGGTTAAGACTTCAATGTAAACATTTTAGGGGGACACAAGCATTCAGCCTACAATACTACCAGTCATTATTATATATTATTATATGAATATTTTATATAATTACACACACACACACACACACACACACACACCTCACTTACAAAACCTTTGGACCAAAAGAACTTTTTAGAATTATAAAGTTGTTTATATATTATATAAAAATATATATCATATAACATAATTACATAATGTATAATATTTTATATAATTATATATCAAATAATCATTAAAACTTATTTGTAAATGGAATAAATATATCACAGATATGTGTTACTGTTTCAAGTAATTTTACATCTTTTGTGATAAATAAACACAGTAGTAGCCCTGTATCCACAGTTTTGCTTTTTGTAGTTTCAGTTACCCATGGTCAACCATGGTCTGAAAAGAGGTGAGTACAGTGCAGTAAGATAGTGAGAGAGAGGCCATATTCACATAGCTCATATTATTATAATTGTTCTATTTTATGATCACTTATTGTTGTTAATCTCTTCCTGTGCCTAATTTATAAATTAAACTTTATCATACATATATGCAAAGAACAAACATAGTACAGTATATATAGGGTTAAGTTTGTCTGCCATTTCAGAAACCTACTGGAGGTCTCGGAACTTATTCCCTGCGTATAAGGGGGTACTACTGTGTATTTATATAAACTACTATTGAAACAGGAATAGCTTTTTAAAATCTTGTGTTTTGTTTTGTAATCAATACTTACTAAGCTATTAATGTAAATATCAACATAGTCTAAATGTTTTTGATCTTATAGAGACAGCACCAAATATTTTCCTCACAAACAGCAGCTAAAAGCAATATTTTTGTCAATTATCATTATGTTGTAAGAAAATGGAGACTACAAGTATAATTTAATGTTATACAGCATAAATTAAATGAAAAAACAATGTCTCTTATGTTGGCATTAAACACATTAAACCGAGTTATTTGTAAACTGATAGATTTTATTCTTCACTGTTCAAATAATGATGTTGTATAGTTGAAGCTTATGACAGAACTGGATCAGTATTTCCTTTAAATATTAAAAAGAACATAATTTTTTATCATATTTGATCCTGTTCACAAGTGGTTACTAAGAACGGTTTGTAAAGCTGCAAAAATTCAGAGATAAAGACAATTTTTCACATCGTGACTGGCATATTTGGCTATAAATCAAAATGCAATGTACAAAGTTAGCTAAAAAGCTAGACTAGAAATCAGGAGACACAAAGTTTAACACTGGCTCTGCTACTATATAGCCATAAAACTACGTTTAAATGCCCTCATCTGTAATATAAATTGATTACTCAGGGAGATCCCCAAAGGCTTTACCAGCCATGATACTTTAGTATCTTCAGAATGTAAGATCATAGTTATTATTTTGTTAACTCAGCTGGTTAGGGCATAGTGTTAGTAAAGAAATATAGACTAATGGTTTTGATCATTCTTTAGACTTGTTAATATTACTGCTGAATCATTTGATTCATTTGCCAAATATTTATAGGTCACCTATTATGTGCTGAGTACTCCTTCAAGGTCTATGTATGAGTCACTTTTTTAGTGGAGTGAGAGAGAAAGAGAGAGAGAGAGAGAGAGAGAGAGAGAATGAGAATTCCATATTGCCAAGAAGCTTATATTACAGTGAAACGAAACAGACAGTACTAAATTAAATAAGTTAAATAAACCATATTAAATAGAAGTAAGTGTTAAGGAGAAATAAAAATGAAAGAATAAAAAGGGTGGCAGGAGGCCTGGAGATTGCAATTATAGATAGTGGCCAAGAAAGATGCTATTAATATGTTGATTTTATTTGAGTGAGGAGCTACAGAAAAATATGTCCAAGCCAAAAATATATCTCTAAGAACAACATTAGGCAAAACAAAAAGAAGTGCAAACAGAGGTCTTGAGGTAAGAATGTTCCTGACTTTTTTTTTTTTTTTTTGTAAACAGCAAGAATGATAGTGTGTGAAGTTCTAGCCATAGCAATTAGGCAAGAGAAAGAAATAAAAGGCATCCAAAAAAAAACAGAGGAAGGTAAACTATCTCTCTTTGCAGATGATATGATTCTATACCTAGACAGTCCCATAATCTCTCCTCAAAGACTCCCAGATCTGATAAACATATTTAGCAAAGGATTAGAAGAAAAAAATCAATGTACAAAAATTAGTAGCATTTCTTTTTTTTTTTTTTTTTTGAGACAGAGTCTTACTCTGTCGCCCAGGCTGGAGTGCAGAGGCCTGATCTTGGCTCACTGCAACCTCCACCTCCCAGGTTCAAGCGATTCTCATTTCTATACACCAGTAATATCCAAGCTGAGGGCCAAATGAAGAATGCAATACCATTCACAATAGCCACAGAAAGAATGAAATACATAGGAATATAGCTAATCAGAGAAGTAAATGATCTCTACAATGAGAATTATAAAACATTGCTGAAAGAAATCAGAAATAACACAAACAAATGGGAAGAACATTCCATGCTCATGGATAAGAAGAACCAATATTTTTAAAATGGCCATACTACCCAAAGCAATTTACATATGCAATGCTAGTCCTGGCAAACTAACAGTGACATTTTTTTCACAGAATCAGAAAAAAAATTCTAAAATTCATATGGGACCAAAAAAGAGCCTAAATACCCAAAGCAATCCTAAGCATAAAGAACAAAGCCAGAGATATTACATTTCCTGACTTCAAACTATACAATGCTACAGTAACCAAAACAGCATGGTCCTGGTACCAAAACAGACATAGAGACCATCGAACAGAATAGAGAACACAGAAATAAGCCACACACTTAACAACCATATCATCTTTGACAAGGTCAACAATGAGGAAAGGACTCCCTATTTAATAAATCATTCTGAGATAAATGGCTGCCCATATGCAGAAGATTCAACCTGGACCCCTTCCTTTCACCATATGCAAAAATCAACTCAAGATGGATTAAATATTTAAATGTAAAACCTAAAACTATAAAACCCTGGAAGAAAACCTAGGAAATACCATCCTGAGCATTGGCTCTGGCAAAAATTTCATGAGGAAGACTCTAAAAGCAATTGCAACAAAAACAAAAATTGACAAGTGGGACCTAATTAAAATAAAGACCTTCTGCATGCCAAAAGAACCTATCCACAGAATAAACAGATAACCTATGGAATGGGAGGAAATACTAACAAACTATGCATCCAGTAAAGGTCTGATATTCAGAATACATAAGTAACTTAAAGAAATCCACAAGCAGAAACCAACCTCATTATGAAGTAGGAAAAGGACATGAACAGAAACTTATCAAAAAAAGACAAACGTAGCAAACAAGCACATGAAAAAATTCTCAGCAACGCTAACCATTAGAGAAATGCAAATCAAAATCACAGTTAGATACCATCTGACACAGGCTAGAATAGCTATTATAAAAGTAAAAAAATAACAAATAATGGAGAGGTTGCAGTAAAAAAGGAAGACTTAAACACTGCTGATTGGATTGCAAATTAGCTTAGCCACTGTAGAGAGCAGTTTGGAGAATTCTCAAAGAACTTAAAACTCAACTACTATTCAATCCAGCAATCCCATTACTGGGCTGTATTAGGGTTCTCTAGAAGGACAGAACTAATAGGATATATGTATAAATAAAGGGGAGTTTATTAAGTATTAACTCAGATGATCACAAGGTCCCACAGTAGGCCGTCTGTAAGCTGAGGAGGAAAAGCCAGTCCAAGTCCCAAAACTGAAAAACCTGGAGCCCAATGTTTGAGGGAAGGAAGCATCCAGCACGGGAGAAAGATGTAGGCTGGAAGGCTAGGCCAGTCTAGCCTTTTCATGTTTTTCAGCCTGCTTTATATCTGCTGACAGCTGATTAGATGGTTCCCACGTAAATTAAGGGTGGATCTGCCTTTCCCAGCCCACTAACTCGAATGTTAATCTCCTTTGGCAACACCCTCACGGACACACCCAGGATCAATACTTTGCATCCTTCAATCCAATCAAGTTGACACTCAATATTAACCATCACAAGTCCACCCCTTGTCAACTTGAAGCCACACACATCTCCTGAGATCATACATAATCTTCAAATAAAGACAATAATAAGGTCATAATTATACCTAACATAATACAGCTATCATTCATACAACCGGAAATGCACCAATCTCCAACCCAAATGGTATTACATAAAGTTAATAATAATTAAATGCTGATATGAAGTCAGTAAATCCTATGATACATGCTAAAGAAAAAAAGGAAATAAGACGAAGATATTTTCTTAGTATAAGTGTATGCTTGCACAAACATGTTTTTAACAAAAGAAGGAAGAAATACTCATGACAATTAGTCCTTGTTTCTGCAACTGGTCCCGTGATTGTAGCTGGTATTGATGACTACCTTCTTCTACTACCCATTCGGTATCCCGTTTGCCTTCAGTAAGCACCTAAGCAGGTCAGGTGTTTTTTGTTGTTGTTTGTTTGTTTGTTTGTTTTTCCTGGTGGAGTGAACCAAACCTTCATTCCTGAAGGGTCTGGGCCATTTGTATTCCTGCCTGGATTGGGCTGTTGTAGTTTCTCATTGACCTTACACAGGGCATGGTAATACTAAGAGACGCCCTAATGGATCTCCTGTATTCCATGCATACTCTTCCTTACCTCTGTTGTGGAGGAGTAGACTGAATTCATCTTGATAGTCCAGGTCAATCACCCCAGCCAACACTGTAACTCCCTTAGCCTGTTGACTTAAAGGTAGGAGGAGCCCAATGTGTCCAGGTGGCAGTCTTAACTTCCAGTTTAGTGGAATTGTTGTGTCTCCTGGTGGCAGCGTTCTTCCCTTTGGAACTAAGACCTCTAGGCAAGCAGAACATAATGTCGCAAGAACAGGAAGCAAAAATTTTGCTAGTGGATTACTAGGGGTGATGGTGAGTAGTGCCACTTCCACTTCCACCCCTTGATTCCTGGCCCCTTAATCCTGGCTATGGGAAAAACAGTACAATATATTGGACACTAATCCAGAGCATACATGGCCTTCTGGATAACTTTGCCCCAGCCCTGCAAAGTATTGTCACCTAGTTGGCATTGTAATTGTGACTTCAAAAGGCCATTCCACCGTTCTATCAATCCAGATGCTTCAGGATGATAGGGAACATGGTAAGACCAGTGAATTCCATGAGCATAAGTCCACTGCCGCACTCCTTTAGCCATAAGGTGAGTGCCTCAGTCAGAAGAATTGCTGAGTGGACTACCATGATGGTGGATAAGGCATTCCATGATTCCACAGATGGTAGTCCTGGCAGAAGCATTGTATCCAGGATAGGCAAACCCATATCCGGAGTAAGTGTCTATTCCAGTGAGAACAAACCTTTGCCCTTTCCATAATGAAAGAGGATAATCAACGTGCCACTAAGTAGCTGGCTGATCACCCCGAGGAATGATGCCATATCGAGGAGTCAGTATTGGTCTCTGCTGCTGGTGAATTGGGCACTCAGCAGTGACCATAGCCAGGTCAGCCTTGGTGAGTGGAAGTCCATGTTGCTGAGCCCATGAGTAGCCATCCCTGCCACCATGGCCACTTTTTTCACGGGCCCATTGGGTGATGACAGGCGTGGCTCGGAAAAGAGGCTGAATGGTGTCCACAGAATGGGTCATCCTATCCACTTGATTGTTAAAATCCTCCTCTGCTGAGGTCACCCATTGGTGAGCACTCACATGGGAATACAAATATCTTCACAATTTTTGACCACTCAGCAAGGTCCATCCACATACTTCTTCCCAAAATTTTTTTGTCACCAATTTTCCAATAATGCTTTTTCCAAGTCCCTGACCATCCAGCCAAACCATTGGCTACAGCCCATGAATCAGTATCGCATCCAGCCATTTCTTCTTCCATGCAAAGTTCACAATCAGGGGCACTGATCGAAGTTCTGCCATTATGAAAAGAGAATTATACAATGTATAAAATAGGTGAAATTAATATTCTTGGGGAGATTCAGTGACTATTACATTAAAAAACCAAATTGATATGAAAAAGTAAATAATTTCTTAAAAATTTAAAATGCAATTGTCAAAACTAAAAATAAGTCTTTAGATAAAATAAATATCAAAATTGATCACAGCTGAAGATGTAGTTAGTGATAGACTCCTAAGATTAATATTATTTCTTTTTTGTGTATTAGGTTTCAGAATGTAATTTGATCATATTTTTTATTTAAGATGTTCTACATAATATATATAAAATGAGTGACTTAAAAACTACTTTACTAAGGTATAAGTGACATGTAAAAAGCTATACAGATTTAATGTATACAATTCTGTGAGTTTAGGGATAAGTATACACTTGTGAAACCATCACAGTCATCAAAGCCATGAACACATCTACCTCCTCCCACAGACTGTACCTGTCTTGTACTTTTTTTTTTTTCAGTAAAAACACCATGTCGTAGTCTGTTTGTGCTGCTAAAGCAAAATACCTTAAACTTGGTAATTTATAAAGCATAGTCATTTATTGCTCACATTTCTGGAGCTAGGAAGTACAAGATCAAGATGCCAGCAAATTTGATGTATGGTGTCTGTTCCTATAGATTGTGCCTTCTCCATGTGTCTTCGCATGGTGGAAGGGGCAAAGGAAGCTCTCTTGTGTCTCTTTTATAGGGTTACTAATTCCATTCAAGAGGTCTCTACCCTCTTGACCTAATCACCTCCCAGATCCCCAACCTCCTAATAAAATTGCACTGGGGATTAGGTACCACCATATGAATTTTTGGCAAGCGTAATTTTTCTCACCATAGTATCTCATCCTTGGCCCCACAAAATTCATGCACTTCTCACACACAAAATACATTTATTGCATCCCAATATCCCCAGGAGTCTTATCTCATTTCAGCATCAATTCAGAATTGTAGTCCAGCATCTCATCTAAATATCCTCTAAATCACATATGGTTGAGACTCAAGGTACACTTGGTCTTGAAGCAAATTGCTCTCCAGCTATGACCCTGAGAAATCAAACAAGTTTTGTGCTTCCAAACTACAATGGTGTGGCAAGAACAGGACAAACATTCCCATTCCCATTCCCAAAGAAAGAAGTAGGAAGAAAGAAAGAGCTGGTCCCAAGTAATTCCAACACCCATCAGGGCAAACAACATTGAATATTAAGCTTTAAGAATAATCTTTATTTTTACAATGCCCCACCTTCCAGATACACTGGGCCAGAGATTGGGCCCCAAGGTTCTAGGTGGCCCTACCTCCATGAATTTGCTAGGTACGGCCCATGTTGAAGCTTTCACAGGTTGGAGTCATGTGACTGCACCTTTCCCAGGCTGGACTTGCAAGCTCTTGCAAGTTCTGGGATCTCAGAGGTGGCTTCACCCAATGGCTCTACTAAGCATTGCCCTTGTGTGGGATTTCTGCAGTGGCCCCTTGCCTATGGCAATCCTCTGCCTGGGCACTAGGGCATCTTTTGAAATCTAGATGAAGGTAGCCATTGTCCCACAGCTCCTTGCACTCTGTGAGCCTGCAAACGTGGTACTGCATGGATGCTATCAAACTTTACCACTTGTGCCCTTTAGAAGGGTGGCCTAAGCTGCACCTGGTCTGGCTTGTGCCACAGATGGGGCAGCCAAGTAGTGCTGCAACGGAATACAGGGAGAAGAGCCTTGAAATTGTTTTGCATCAAAAGCCCTGGCATTCTGAGACCATAATGGGCAGGGCAGCCCTAAATATGTCTGAAATGCCTTTGAGATCATTCTTCCATGTTCTTGATGAATAACGCCTGGCGTCTACTCATCCATACTAATCTCATGAACTGTCCACTTGGCGATAACCTTGGTGTTCTCTCCCAAGCACACATATTCATTCTTTACAACATGGCAAGAAAGAGAATTTTCCAGATCTTTGAGTTCTGATTTCCTTGTGATTACAAATTCCAACTTTAATTTTAATTCTTTCTCAGATTACACTGTTAGGAGTCAAGAGAAGCCAGGTCATACCCTTAACATTTTGATGATTTTTTCTGCCAAATATTCTATTTCATTGTCCAGGAGCTCTACCTTTCGCAAGACACTAGGACATGAACATAATTCGCCAAGTTATTTTCCACTTTATAAAAAGAATAGCTTTCCACCAGTTTCCAATAACATGACATTCATTTCCAACTGTGTCCTCATCAGAATATCCTTTACCATTGATATTTCTACCAACGTTAGATTCCTAACATCTTAGGTAATCTCTAAGAAGATTGAGGCTATCTCTGCAGACCTCCTCTTCTTCTTAGGCCTCATTGAAATTGCCCTTTATGGTTTGTTCAGGGCAATACAGGCTTTTGTCCAGCGTGCTCTTTAAAACTCTTCTACTGATTCTCCAATTTCAAAGCCCGTTCCATGTTTATAAGGTATTCCGATTATCCAATTTCAAAGCCCGTTCCACTTTTTTAAGGTATTTTATATAGCAGCAACCACTCCTGGTATGAATTTCTGTCTTTGTTTGGGCTTCTATATCAAAATACCTTAGTCTTGGTAATTTATAAACAATGGAAATTTATTTCTCACAGTTCTGAAGGTGGGAAAGTACAGGATCAAGGTGCCAGCAGATTCAATGTCTGGTGAAGGCCAGTTTGTCACAGATGATGACTTCCTGTAGAACATGACAGAAGAGGTGAAAAAGCTCCCTCTTGCCTCTTTTATAAGGACACTAATTCCATTCATGAGGGCTTTGCCTTCATGTTCTAAACACTTTCTAAAGGCTCTAACTCTTAATAATATTGCACTCAGAATTAGGTATCAGCATATAAATTTTGGTGGAACACAAACATTCAGACTGTAGCATATCATATTACAACATAATATGTTAACATAAAATCTACTCTCTTAGCAAATTTTAAGTATGTATTAAAGTATTTGTAGTTGTAGGCACTGGGGTGTATAGTCTATTTCCAGAACTTATTTATCTTGTGTAAGTGAAGCTTTATATGCTTTGCCATCCATATTTCCCCCTTTAGCCTGCTCTAGGTAACAACCATTCTACTTTTATGAGTTTGTCTATTTCAGCTCTCACATATGAGTGGAATCATACAGTATTTATCTTTACATGTTTGACTTATTTCACTTAGTACAATATACTTCAGGTTCATCTGTGTTGTAACAAATGGCAGGATTTATTTTCTTTTGTGAGGCCAAATTATATACCATTGTGTGTATTTATCACATTTTCCATATTCATTTGTCCATTGATAAAAATTTAGGTTATTTCCATATCTTGGTTATTGTGAACAATGCTTCAGCGAGTTCTGGAGTTCAGGTGTCTCTTCAATATCCTGCTTTCAATTCCTTTGGATAAATATGTATAAGTGGGATTTCTGGTGTTGTCAAAAAACACCACCAGGATGGCTAAATAGTAGAAAGAAGAGCTTCGTTGGTGATATCAGTTTATAAACTAGAAAGAAACAGCCTCTGGCATGTGACAAATGTGCTCTCTTTTAGAAGAGAGAAAAACAGGTTTGGTTTTATGCCTCACAGGGCCTGTATCACACAATTAGGTCATACAATTAAACAGGTTTTGGGGAAAAGCTATACATAATTATGAGGGGAGCTAATCGTATGCACAAAGGGCAAACATTTACATAACATACATCCTATGTTCATTTTGAAATAGGGTTTTATCATTAAAATGAGGTAGAAGTTGGTTCTTTATGTCAAAAGGTGAACTATAGGACACAAAGACAGTTTGTGCACAGCCTCTATAAGCTGACTGAAAGTGTCTTAAAGTCTGTAATTGCTTATCAAGAAAGAATGTTTGTAAGACTGGCCCTCTGTCCAATCAGTTGCAGGGGTCTGGAATGTAAATCAGAGTTAAGAGAGGTCTGAAAATTTGACTGATAGCTACTATTAGGGAGTTTAACCAAAGTGTGTTTTTTTTCTTGTGTCCTGAACCCTCAACCCATAGATACCTTTGTTTCCTTAATTTTAGAGTCCATCTTGTCTAATATAAGGGATCAAATTAGATAGTAAACTATTTTGTACTGTTTTGAGGAACCTCCATGCTGTTTACTGTCAAGGCTGTACCAAATTACATTCCCACCAACAGTGTGTAAGGGAATTTTTTTTTCTCCATATCCAAACTAACACTGTTATATTTTGTTGTTGTTTTTTAAATAGCCATCCTGACAGGTGAGACATAATATCTCATTGTGGTTTTTATTGCATTTCCTGGATGATTCGTGATATTGAGCACCTTTTCATATGTCTGTTGGCTATCTGTATGTTTCATTTAAATAAATGCTCATTAAATTCCATTGCCCACCTTTTGATCAGGTTATTAGTTATTTTGCTATTTAATTGTAGGGGTTTCTTATATATTTTGGATATTAACCTCTCATCAGATACATGGTTTTCAAATATTTTCTCTCATTTTGTAGGTCGCCAGCATCAGGACCTCCTGAAGCTGGGTCATGGGTGCATGTCCTCCACCTTGGCCAAATAACTTTCTAAATTAACTGAGACCTGTCTCAGATTTTTTGGGGTTTACACAGTCATGATGTCTCTTCATTTATAAATTTATTCGATTTTTTACTGTTTTTTTTTCTTAATCTACCTAAAGGTCTGTCAATTTTGTTCCTCTTCTCAAAAAACCAAATCTTAGTTTCATTAATCCTTTTGACTGTTTTTTCTAGTCTCTATTTTACTTATTTTAGCTCTGATGATTCTTTCTTTCTTCTGAATTTGGGCTTAGTTTGTTCTTCTTTTTCTATACCTTGAGATATAGTGTTAGGTTCTTTGAGATCTTTCTTTTTTTTTTTTTGATGTAGGTATTTATTGTCATAAACATCCATGTTAAGATGATGTCTGCTGCATCCCATAAATTTTGTTATGTTGTGCATACATTTTTATCCGTCTTAAGATATTTTTTAATTTTCCTCTTAATTCATCCCATGACTCATTGTTTGTTCAGGATCATGTTGTTTAATTCTATGTCTTTATCATTTTTCTAAAATTCTTCCTGTTACTGATTTCAAATTTTATACCATTGTGACCAGAAATTGTATTCAATATCATTTCATTTGTCCTAAGTTTGTTCAGACCATTTTGGGGGCTTGACACATGATCAGTCCTGAAGAAGGTTCCTTGTGCACTTGAGTAGAATGCGTATTCTGTTTCTGTTGGATGTAATGTCCTGCGTATGTCTGTTAAGTCCATTTTGTCTAAAGTGTTATTTAAGTCCATTGTTTCCTTACTGATTTTCTGTCTGCATGATCTGTCCATTGCTGAAAGTGAAGTGTTCAAGTCTCTTACTATTATTCTATTATAGTCTATCTCTCCCTTCAAATCTATTAATATTTGTTTACAAATTTAGATGCCCCAATGTTTGGTGTACATTTACTTATAATTGTTATATCAGCTAGCAGTGTATGTCAGGTAGTTGAGAGATCTGCAGGTGAGACATTCCATAAGGCTTATTAGTGGGACTCTTGGTAAACTGTGTGAGCTAGCCAGTAGCATCTGCATCTGTTTATTGAGATGTGGACACAAGATGCTGTGAGCACCCTCCCCTTTCTCTATACCTGACTGCTCCAAAATGATTCAATTTTGCTAATTTCCTCACTGTGGTGGGTGGAATGAGATGGAAGTGAGTTTCCTGGGCAGTATCTTGCAAGGCTGGGGAAGCCAGGTGCTCATTTGTCTCTCACTTTTCTCCATGGTAGAAATTACAGGCTGAAGGGCTCTTTCTTGGCTCTGAGCTATGCTCTTTTGGAGGAGGGGTTATACAGGTAAAGTGAAACTGTTTTACTTGCCTTCTTCTTGAATTTTTTGCTCCATTGATGCTAGAACGTCTCCACTGGACTCCCAGGCTCACATAAAGGTATTCTAGTCCTTGAGTATTTGTTTAAATTTGTGTTTCTGTTAGGGGTTTAAGGGCTAAACACTTCTAATCTGCCATCCTGCTGATGTCATTCTCCTAGATTAATATCATTCTGAACTCAGTGTCAAAAAACAAGGATTTAAAATATAAGAAAAGAATTACTAGACAGAGGAGACACATGAAGAAGTTCTAAAGTATGTGAAAGCAGAGTTTTCAAAATACACAATTGAAAGAATGAGAAGGAGAAAAAAATTTCAGAGCTGAAAAAAATTGTGTTTAAAAGACTATTAGTTATTAAGCTTTTTAAAGTTCACACCAAAGCACAAACATTCGCAAAGAATACCTAGGTACGTGTGAGTAAAATTTTAGAATCCCAAGAATGCAGGGTTGAAGAGATAGAAAACAAGCAACTTGCAAAAGAGCCTCTTTCTGATAATTTATCGTCTCATTCTCTTTCCAGCTACTCTGGGGTTTTGTGCTCACTGCTTGGAATTATTTAACAGTGTCTCCTCATATGGCTGGTTCATTCTCATTTTCAGGTTTCAGAGTAAATGTCACTTTCTCAGAGAGGCTTTCTTCTAACCTTCCTCACTAAATAGGCTGTCTATTCTCTATTTAAAAACTATTTTTAAAAAGCTATTTAGTTCCTTCTAGTACTTACCAAAATTAAAATTATTTCATTTTGTCTACTTATTTTTCTGTCTCTTGCAGTAGAATATATGTTCCATAGGGAGAAGGTATAACGATCATGTATGTAGTATTTTTCCTACCACAGAGCAAGTGTTCTGTTTATATTTGTGGAATGGGCAGAAGAAGAATAATCAGATGGATGCCAGACTTTTCTTTGACTACAATGAATGCTGCATTTCATTGAACAATGTCTTTCTCTCATTTGTTCAACAAATATTTAGAGAGTTCCTACTGTATTCCAGGTACTGTACTTGGCACTGGTAATATAAAATATGCTCTGTGTGCTTTGTCTTCTGCCATGAAAGTCAATGATATTGCACTTTACTGCAGGGAATTCTCTAACTGCTTGGGCCTAAGTCACATCTACTCTGACTGAATATTTTAGTCAGCGTTTACCTTCATGGGGTCTTTAACTTCTTTGTAGTTACAAATGTGTGTGTGTGTGTGTGTGTGTGTGTGTGTGTGTGTGTGTGTGTTATCATTTATTTAATTTTTTCCAATTCATACCTGAGATAAAATTGCTTAAAGTTTTTAAAGAAACATGAGAGCCTGAAAAAAATATTACACTACAAATAAGCTTTATTGAATCTTCTTGGTTTGTATTCTCATGCGTGTAACTGAGACCATCTGGAAAAATCATGCTATTCTGTGGAGTTCTGCATAATTCCAAGGTCATTAAATCCAAGTCATTTCACCATGCAGGCATCACAATACAAAAGTAATCAGTAATCATCCAAAGCACTGGCATTCTTAATCAAGCTTTGGCTTTGAACTGCTTGTGACTTACTTTTGATCCTACTTTCTTCTTACTTCATGATTTTTCTATCACATATTACCAGTTATCAGAAAGGAATCCTGATCAAGTGAAAGGGTTCTTGGATCTCATACAAGGAAGAATTTGTAGTGAGCATGCAAAGTAAAGTGAATGCAAGTCTATTAGAGAAGTAAATAAACAAAAGAATGGCTACTCTATTGACAGAACAGAGCATTCCTGAAAGCACGAGGGTGAATGCATCCACCATAGGTGCACTGCTTGTTTTTATATGAGATAAAGCAAAAAATAACCATGGGGCAGGTGTGCTCTACTTCAAGGGCTTGTGACAAAAGATGGTTCATCTTTGTGTAACCACTGACTTTGACAATAATCTATATTATTATATATATTTTTTGGAGAGAGGGCCTCCTCTGTTGCCCAGGCTGGAGTGTAGTAGTGCCATCAGGGCTCCTGCAGCCTCAACCTCCCCGGGCTCAGATGATCTTCCCACTTCAGCCTCCCGAGTAGCTGGGACTAGAGCTACATAGCAGCATGCCCAGCTAATTTTTGTAATTTTTATAGAAATAGGATTTTGCCATGTTGCCCAGCCTGGTCTCAAACTCTTGTGATCAAAAGATCTGCCCACCTTGGCCTCCCAAAGTGCTGGGATTACAGGCATGTGCCACCATACCAACTATATTATCTTTAAAGCAAAACTTTTTCTTGAACAAAGAATGCTTTTGTCCTTAGGATATCAAGACATCAGGACATTTTCTGGTCTGTTAACTCTGAAGTCTGTTCAGTAAACATTATTAGTCTGTTCCCTTAACCATAAACATCTTGTGACTAAGGATGACTAACTTCCTGGGAATGTAGCTCAGTAGGTCTTAGCCTCATTTTACTCAGCTCTGTTCAAGATGGAGTCACTCTGCTTCAAATGTCTCTTACATATATAATCATTTGGCCTCCTTCTGCAACCTCATGCCTCCCTATATCAGGCATATTTATTACTGTGTTTCTGGTCATAACCTCCTATTACTTCTTTACAGTATTCTCTCTCTCTGGATCTGTGACCTTTGACTTTTTTGAAAACATCATGTCTGATCTTTCCTTTACTGTATACAGGCCTCTGTGTATATTTGGTGTTCAGAGAGTTGGCCCCAGTCATATGAGTATAAAGCAGATATATTTCAAACATTTATTAAATAATGGAAATCCTTTTAAATTGGAAAGCCCAGTATTTTGGTAAGGGGGTAGTTTGAGGATGAAGGACAATTTACTGGCACCCTTCTTGACTTACCCTTTGGGTGGTATCTAGTTGTGGAAACCTGGTCTAGCCAGCTGGCCCAGGGAAATATTCTCTAGTGTAGTTGTATTAGTCTGTTCTTGCATTGCTATAAATAACTACCTGAGACTGGGTAATTTATAAAGAAAAGAGATTTAATTGGCTCACAGTTCCACAGAATCTACAAGAAGCGGGGCTAGGGAGGACTCAGGAAACTTAAAATCATAGTTGAAGGTGAAAAGAAAAGAGGGTTGTCTTACATGGCTGGAACAGGAGGAAGAGAAAGGGAGGGAGGGTGGTGCTACACACTTTTAAACAACCAGATTTCATGAGAATTTTATCACGAGACAGCACTAGAGTGATGATGCTAAACCATTAGAAACCACCTTCACAATCCAATCACCTCCCACCAGGCCCCTCCTCCAAAATTGGGGATTACAATTTGACATGAGATTTGGGAGGGGACAGAGACAAATCACATCATTCTGGTCCTGACCCATTCAAAATCTCAGGTCCTTCTCACATTTTAAAATACAATCATGCCTTCCCAACAGTCCCCCAAAGCCTTAACTCATTCCAGCATTAACTCAGAAGTCCAAGTCTAAAGTCTCATCTGAGACAAGGCAAGTCTCTTCTGCCTATGAGCCTGTAAAATCAAAAGCAAGTTAGTTACTTTAAAGATACAATGGAGGTACAGGCATTGGATAAATACACCCATTCCAAGAGGGATAAATTAGCCAAAACAAAGGAGTTCCAGGCCCATGCAATTAAAAAACCCAGCAGGCAGTCATTAAATCTTAAAGCTCCAAAATAATGGCCTTTGACTCCATGTCTTACATCCAGACCACACTAATGCAAGGGGTGGGCTCCCAAGGCCTTGAGAAGCTCCACCCCTATGGCTCTGCAGGGCTGCAGGGCTGCAGGGCTCTGCAATAGCTGGTTTTACAGGCTGGTGTTGAGTGTCTGTGGCCTTTGCAGGCACAGGGTGCAAGCTGTTGGTGGATCTACCATTCGGGGGTCTGGAGAATGGTGGGCCTCTTCTCGCAACTCCACTAGGCAGTACCCTGGTGGTGACTTTGTCTGAGGGCTGTGAACCCACATTTTCCCTCCACACTGCCCTAGTAGAAGTCCTCCATGAGGGCTCTGCCCCTGCAACAGACTTCTGCCTGGGCATCCAGATGTTTCCATACATCTTCTGAAATGTAAGTGGAGGCTCCCAAGCTTCATCTCTTGCCTTCTGCACACCAACAGGCCCAACACCACATAGAAACCACCAAGTCTTGGGGCTTGCACCATCTGAAGCAATGGCCCAAGTTGTACCTTGACCCCTTTTAGCCAGGGCTGGAGCTGGAGTGGCTGGTACACAGGACATTATGTCCCAAGGCTGCACAGAGCAGCAGGGTCCTGGGCCTGGCCCATGAAACCATTTTTTCCTCCTAGGCCTCCAGGGCTGTGATGGGAGGGGCTGCCACGAAGGTCTCTGAAATGTCCTGGAGGCATTTTCCCCATTGTCTTGGCTATTAACATTTGGCTTCTCTTTACTTATGCAAATTTCTGCAGACTTCTTGAATTC